>NC_000005.10:46569162-46624328 GCF_000001405.40 Homo sapiens | reverse complement strand
CTTCTGTCTAGTTTTTAAGAGAAGATAATCCTTTTTCCACCATAGGCAACAAATCTCTCCAAATGAACACTACCAGGTTCTACAAAAAGTGTGTTTCAACACTGCTCTAACAAAAGAAAGGATCAAGACTTTGAGTTAACCACGCCCAGCTAATTTTTGTATTTTTAGTAGAGACGGGGTTTCACCATGTTGGCCAGGATGGTCTTGATCTCTTGACCTCGTGATCCACGTGCCCAGCTCTGTCTAGTTTTTATTTGAAGGTACTTCCTTTTCCTTCTTAGACCTCAAATCGCTCCAAATATCCACTTGCAGATACTACAAAAAGACTGTTTCAAAACCGCTCTCTCAAAAGGAAGGTTCAACTCTGTGAGTTGAATGCACATATTACAAAGCAGTTCCTGAGAATGCTTCTGTCTATTTTTTAGGTGAAGATATCACTTTTTCCAACATAGGCCACAAAGCATTTGAAATGAACACTTGCAGATTCTACAAAATGTTTGTTTCAACACTGCTGTATCAAAAGAAAGGTTCAACAATGTGAATTGAACACACCCATCACAAAGGAGTTTCTGAGAATGCTTCTGTCTAGTTTCTATGTGAAGATATTTCTTTTTCCAACATAGGCAACAAAGCACTCCAAAGAACACTTGTAGATTATACAAAAAGTGTGTTTCAACACTGCTCTACCTAAAGGAAGTTTCAAGTCTGTGACTTAAATGCACACATCACAAAGCAGTTTCTGAGAATGCTTCTGTCTAGTTTGTATGTGAAGATATTTCATTTTCCACCATACTCCACAAATCACTCCAAATATCCACTTGCAAATACTACAAAAAGACTGTTTCAAAACTTCTCTCTCAAAAGGAAGGTTCAACTCTGTGAGTTGAATGCACACATCACAAGGCAGTTTCTGAAAATGCTTCAGTCTAGTTTTTTATTTGAAGGTATTTCCTTTTCCTTCTTCGGCCTCAAATCACTGCAAATATCCACTTGCAGATACTACAAAAAGACTGTTTCAAAACCGCTCTCTCAAAAGGAAGGTTCAACACTGTGAGTTGAATGCACATGTTACGAAGCAGTTTCTGGAATGCTTCTGTCTATTTTTCAGGTGAAGATATCACTTTTTCGAACATACGCAAAAAAGAACTCAAAATGGACACTTGCAGATTCTACAAAAAGTATGTTTCAACACTGCTCTATCAAAAGAAAGGTTCAACGATATGAATTGAACACACACATCACAAAGGAGTTTCAGAGAATGCTTCTGTCTAGTTTTTAAGTGAAGATATTACTTTTTCCCACATAGGCAACAAAGGGCTTCAAATGAATACTTGTGGATTCTACAAAAAGTGTGTTTCAACACTGCTCTATCAAAAGAAAGTTTCAAGTCTGTGAGTTGAATGCACACATCACAAAGAACTTTCTGAGAATGCTTGGGTCTACTTTTTATGTGAAGATACCCGTTTCCAGCGAATAACTCAAAGAGTTCCAAATATACACAATCAGATACTACAAAAGGAGTGTTTCATTCCTGCTCTGTCAAAAGACAGTTTCAACTCTGTTAGTTGAATGCACACATCTCAATGAAGTTCCTGAGAAGGCTTCTGCCTAGTTTTTTGTGAAGATATTCCCTTTTCCACCATAGGCTTCACAGCGCTCCAAATGAAAACTTGCAGGTCCTACAAAAAGACTGCTTCAAAACTGCTCTCTCAAAAGAACGGTTCCACTCTGTTAGGTGAATGCACACATCACAAGAAGTTTCTGAGAATGCTTCTGTTTAGTTTGTATGTGAAGATATTTCCTTTTCCATCATACTACACGAATCGCTCCAAATATCCACCTGCAGACGTTACAAAAAGACTGTTTCAAAACTGCTCTCTCAAAAGGAAGGTTCAACTCTGTGAGTTGAGTGCACACATCACAATGGAGTTTCTGAGAATACTTCTGTCTACTTTGTATGTGAAGGTATTTCCTTTTCCACCTGAGGCCCCAAGTCACTACAAATATCCACTTGCAGATACTATAAAAAGACTGTTTCAAAACCTCCCTCTCCAAAGGAAAGTTCAAATCTGTCGGTTGAATGCACACATCACAAAGCAGTTTCTGAGAATGCTTCTGTCTAGTTTGTATGTGAAGATATTTCCTTTTCCATCATAGGCTTCAAATCGCTCCAAATATCCACTTGCAGATACTACAAAAGACCGTTTCAACACTGCTCTCTCAAAAGGAAGGTTCAACTCTGTGGGTTGAATGCACACATCACAAAGCAGTTTCTGAGAATGCTTCTGTCTAGTTTTTATGTGAAGATATTTCCTTTTCCATCATAGGCCTCAAATCGCTCCAAATATCCGCTTGCAGATACTACAAAAAGACTGTTTCAAAACTGCTCTCTCTGAAAAGGAAGGTTCAACTCTGTGAGTTGAATGCACACATCACAAAGCAGTTTCTGAGAATGCTTCTGTCTAGTTTGTATGTGAGGATATCCCGTTTACAACATCATCCTCAAAGAGCTCCAATTATCCACAAGCAGATTCTACAAAAGCAGTGTTTCAAAATTGCTCTTTCAAAAGAAAGGTTCAACTCTGTGAATTAAACAGACACATCACAAAGTTTTTTCTGAGAATGCTTCTGTCTAGTTTTTAAGAGAAGATAATCCTTTTTCCACCATAGGCAACAAATCTCTCCAAATGAACACTACCAGGTTCTACAAAAAGTGTGTTTCAACACTGCTCTAACTAAAGTAAGGATCAAGACTTTGAGTTAAATGCACACATCACAAAGCAGTTTCTGAGAAAGCTTCTGTCTAGTTTTTATTTGAAGGTACTTCCTTTTCCTTCTTAGACCTCAAATCGCTCCAAATATCCACTTGCAGATACTACAAAAAGACTGTTTCAAAACCGCTCTCTCAAAAGGAAGGTTCAACTCTGTGAGCTTGAATGCACATATTACAAAGCAGTTCCTGAGAATGCTTCTGTTTATTTTTTAGGTGAAGGTATCTCTTTTTCCAACATAGGCCACAAAGCATTTGAAATGAGCACTTGCAGATTCTACAAAATGTTTGTTTCAACACTGCTGTATCAAAAGAAAGGTTCAACAATGTGAATTGAACAAACCCATCACAAAGGAGTTTCTGTGAATGCTTCTGTCTAGTTTTTATGTGAAGATATTTCTTTTTCCAACATAGGCAACAAAGCACTCCAAAGAACACTTGTAGATTATACAAAAAGTGTGTTTCAACACTGCTCTACCTAAAGGAAGTTTCAAGTCTGTGACTTAAATGCACACATCACAAAGCAGTTTCTGAGAATGCTTCTGTCTAGTTTGTATGTGAAGATATTTCATTTTCCACCATACTCCACAAATCGCTCCAAATATCCACTTGCAAATACTACAAAAAGACTGTTTCAAAACTTCTCTCTCAAAAGGAAGGTTCAACTCTGTGAGTTGAATGCACACATCACAAGGCAGTTTCTGAAAATGCTTCCGTCTAGTTTTTTATTTGAAGGTATTTCCTTTTCCTTCTTCGGCCTCAAATCACTGCAAATATCCACTTGCAGATACTACAAAAAGACTGTTTCAAAACCGCTCTCTCAAAAGGAAGGTTCAACACTGTGAGTTGAATGCACATGTTACAAAGCAGTTTCTGGAATGCTTCTGTCTATTTTTCAGGTGAAGATATCACTTTTTCCAGCATACGCACAGAAGAACTCGAAATGGACACTTGCAGATTCTACAAAAAGTATGTTTCAACACTGCTCTATCAAAAGAAAGGTTCAACGATGTGAATTGAACACACACTTCACAGAGGAGTTTCAGAGAATGCTTCTGTCTAGTTTTTAAGTGAAGATATTCCTTTTTCCCACACAGGCAACAAAGCGCTCCAAAGGAATACTTGTGGATTCTACAAAAAGTGTGTTTCAACACTGCTCTATCAAAAGAAAGTTTCAAGTCTGTGAGTTGAACGCACACATCACAAAGAACCTTCTGAGAATGCTTGGGTCTACTTTTTATGTGAAGATACCCGTTTCCAACGAATAACTCAAAGAGTTCCAAATATACACAATCAGATACTACAAAAGGAGTGTTTCATTCCTCCTCTGTCAAAAGACAGTTTCAACTCTGTTAGTTGAATGCACACATCTCAATGAAGTTCCTGAGAAGGCTTCTGCCTAGTTTTTTGTGAAGATAGTCCCTTTTCCACCATGGGCTTCAAAGCGCTCCAAATGAAAACTTGCAGGTCCTACCAAAAGACTGATTCAAAACTGCTCTATCAAAAGAACGGTTCCACTCTGTTAGGAGAATGCACACATCACAAGAAATTTCTGAGAATGCTTCTGTTTAGTTTGTATGTGAAGATATTTCCTTTTCCATCATACTACTCGAATCGCTCCAAATATCCACCTGCAGACGTTACAAAAAGACTGTTTCAAAACTGCTCTCTCAAAAGGAAGGTTTAACTCTGTGAGTTGAGTGCACACATCACAATGGAGTTTCTGAGAATACTTCTGTCTACTTTGTATGTGAAGGTATTTCCTTTTCCACCTGAGGCCCCAAGTCACTACAAATATCCACTTGCAGATACTACAAAAAGACTGTTTCAAAACCTCCCTCTCCAAAGGAAAGTTCAAATCTGTCGGTTGAATGCACACATCACAAAGCAGTTTCTGAGAATGCTTCTGTCTAGTTTGTATGTGAAGATATTTCCTTTTCCGTCATAGGCCTCAAATCGCTCCAAATATCCACTTGCAGATACTACAAAAGACCGTTTCAACACTGCTCTCTCAAAAGGAAGGTTCAACTCTGTGGGTTGAATGCACACATCACAAAGCAGTTTCTGAGAATGCTTCTGTCTAGTTTGTATGTGAAGATATTTCCTTTTCCATCATAGGCCTCAAATCGCTCCAAATATCCACTTGCAGATACTACAAAAAGACTGTTTCAACACTGCTCTCTCAAATGGAAGGTTCAACTCTGTGAGTTGAATGCACACATCACAAAGCAGTTTCTGAGAATGCTTCTGTCTAGTTTGTATGTGAAGATATGCCTTTTACAACGTATTCCTCAAGGAGCTCCCAATATCCACAAGCAGATTCTACAGAAGCAGTGTTTCAAACCTGCTCTGTCAAAGGAAAGTTTCAACTCTGTGAATTGAACACACACATCACAAAGCAGTTTCTAAGAATGCTTCTGTCTAGTTTTTAAGAGAAGATAATCCTTTTTCCACCATAGGCAACAAATCTCTCCAAATGAACACTACCAGTTTCTACAAAAAGTGTGTTTCAACACTGCTCTAACAAAAGTAAGGATCAAGACTTTGAGTTAAATGCACACATCACAAAGCAGTTTCTGAGAAAGCTTCTGTCTAGTTTTTATTTGAAGTTACTTCCTTTTCCTTCTTAGACCTCAAATCGCTCCCAATATCCACTTGCAGATACTACAAAAAGACTGTTCAAAACCGCTCTCTCAAAAGGAAGGTTCAACTCTGTGAGTTGAATGCACATATTACAAAGCAGTTCCTGAGAATGCTTCTGTCTATTTTTTAGGTGAAGATATCACTTTTTCCAACATAGGCCGCAAAGCATTTGAAATGAACCCTTGCAGATTCTACAAAATGTTTGTTTCAACACTGCTGTATCAAAAGAAAGGTTCAACAATGTGAATTGAACAAACCCATTACAAAGGAGTTTCTGAGAATGCTTCTGTCTAGTTTTTATGTGAAGATATTTCTTTTTCCAACATAGGCAACAAAGCACTCCAAAGAACACTTGTAGATTATACAAAAAGTGTGTTTCAACACTGCTCTACCTAAAGGAAGTTTCAAGTCTGTGACTTAAATGCACACATCACAAAGCAGTTTCTGACAATGCTTCTGTCTAGTTTGTATGTGAAGATATTTCATTTTCCACCATACTCCACAAATCGCTCCAAATATCCACTTGCAAATACTACAAAAAGACTGTTTCAAAACTTCTCTCTCAAAAGGAAGGTTCAACTCTGTGAGTTGAATGCACACATCACAAGGCAGTTTCTGAAAATGCTTCCTTCTAGTTTTTTATTTGAAGGTATTTCCTTTTCCTTCTTCGGCCTCAAATCACTGCAAATATCCACTTGCAGATACTACAAAAAGACTGTTTCAAAACCGCTCTCTCAAAAGGAAGGTTCAACACTGTGAGTTGAATGCACATGTTACAAAGCAGTTTCTGGAATGCTTCTGTCTATTTTTCAGGTGAAGATATCACTTTTTCCAGCATACGCACAAAAGAACTCGAAATGGACACTTGCAGATTCTACAAAAAGTATGTTTCAACACTGCTCTATCAAAAGAAAGGTTCAACGATGTGAATTGAACACACACTTCACAGAGGAGTTTCAGAGAATGCTTCTGTCTAGTTTTTAAGTGAAGATATTCCTTTTTCCCACATAGGCAACAAAGCGCTCCAAAGGAATACTTGTGGATTCTACAAAAAGTGTGTTTCAACACTGCTCTATCAAAAGAAAGTTTCAAGTCTGTGAGTTGAACGCACACATCACAAAGAACCTTCTGAGAATGCTTGGGTCTACTTTTTATGTGAAGATACCCGTTTCCAACGAATAACTCAAAGAGTTCCAAATACACACAATCAGATACTACAAAAGGAGTGTTTCATTCCTCCTCTGTCAAAAGACAGTTTCAACTCTGTTAGTTGAATGCACACATCTCAATGAAGTTCCTGAGAAGGCTTCTGCCTAGTTTTTTGTGAAGATATTCCCTTTTCCACCATAGGCTTCACAGCGCTCCAAATGAAAACTTGCAGGTCCTACAAAAAGACTGATTCAAAACTGCTCTCCCAAAAGGAAGGTTCAACTGTGTGAGTTGAATGCACACATCACAAAGCAGTTCCTGAGAATCCTTCTGTCTAGTTTGTATGTGAAGATATTTCCTTTTCCATCATAGGCCTCAAATCGCTCCAAATATCCACTTGCAGATACTACAAAAATACCGTTTCAACACTGCTCTCTCCAATGGAAGGTTCAACTCTGTGAGTTGAGTGCACACATCACAATGCAGTTTCTGAGAATACTTCTATCTACTTTGTATGTGAAGGTATTTCCTTTTCCACCTGAGGCCCCAAGTCACTACAAATATCCACTTGCAGATACTACAAAAAGACTGTTTCAAAACGTCCCTCTCCAAAGGAAAGTTCAAATCTGTCGGTTGAATGCACACATCACAAAACAGTTTCTGAGAATGCTTCTGTCTAGTTTGTATGTGAAGATATTTCCTTTTCCATCATAGGCGTCAAATCGCTCCAAATATCCACTTGCAGATACTACAAAAGACCGTTTCAACACTGCTCTCTCAAAAGGAAGGTTCAACTCTGTGGGTTGAATGCACACATCACAAAGCAGTTTCTGAGAATGCTTCTGTCTAGTTTGTATGTGAAGATATTTCCTTTTCCATCATAGGCCTCAAATCGCTCCAAATATCCAATTGAAGATACTACAAAAAGACCGTTTCCACACTGCTCTCTCAAATGGAAGGTTCAACTCTGTGAGTTGAATGCACACATCACAAAGCAGTTTCTGAGAATGCTTCTGTCTAGTTTGTATGTGAAGATATGCCTTTTACAACGTATTCCTCAAGGAGCTCCCAATATCCACAAGCAGATTCTACAGAAGCAGTGTTTCAAACCTGCTCTGTCAAAGGAAAGTTTCAACTCTGTGAATTGAACACACACATCACAAAGCAGTTTCTAAGAATGCTTCTGTCTAGTTTTTAAGAGAAGATAATCATTTTTCCACCATAGGCAACAAATCTCTCCAAATGAACACTACCAGGTTCTACAAAAAGTGTGTTTCAACACTGCTCTAACAAAAGTAAGGATCAAGACTTTGAGTTAAATGCACACATCACAAAGCAGTTTCTGAGAAAGCTTCTGTCTAGTTTTTATTTGAAGGTATTTCCTTTTCCTTCTTAGACCTCAAATCGCTCCAAATATCCTCTTGCAGATACTACAAAAAGACTCTTTCAAAACCGCTCTCTCAAAAGGAAGGTTCAACTCTGTGAGTTGAATGCACATATTACAAAGCAGTTCCTGAGAATGCTTCTGTCTATTTTTTAGGTGAAGATATCACTTTTTCCAACATAGGCCACAAAGCATTTGAAATGAACACTTGCAGATTCTACAAAATGTTTGTTTCAACACTGCTGTATCAAAAGAAAGGTTCAACAATGTGAATTGAACAAACCCATCACAAAGGAGTTTCTCAGAATGCTTCTGTCTAGTTTTTATGTGAAGATATTTCTTTTTCCAACATAGGCAACAAAGCACTCCAAAGAACACTTGTAGATTATACAAAAAGTGTGTTTCAACACTGCTCTACCTAAAGGAAGTTTCAAGTCTGTGAGTTAAATGCACACATCACAAAGCAGTTTCTGAGAATGCTTCTGTCTAGTTTGTATGTGAAGATATTTCATTTTCCACCATACTCCAC
Organism: Homo sapiens; assembly: GCF_000001405.40. Lineage (NCBI taxonomy): Eukaryota > Metazoa > Chordata > Mammalia > Primates > Hominidae > Homo > Homo sapiens. Next base: position 46,615,853 of record NC_000005.10, on the reverse strand, counting down.
AAATCGCTCCAAATATCCACTTGCAAATACCACAAAAAGACTGTTTCAAAACTTCTCTCTCAAAAGGAAGGTTCAACTCTGTGAGTTGAATGCACACATCACAAGGCAGTTTCTGAAAATGCTTCCGTCTAGTTTTTTATTTGAAGGTATTTCCTTTTCCTTCTTCGGCCTCAAATCACTGCAAATATCCACTTGCAGATACTACAAAAAGACAGTTTCAAAACCGCTCCCTCAAAAGGAAGGTTCAACACTGTGAGTTGAATGCACATGTTACAAAGCAGTTTCTGGAATGCTTCTGTCTATTTTTCAGGTGAAGATATCACTTTTTCCAACATACGCACAAAAGAACTCGAAATGGACACTTGCAGATTCTACAAAAAGTATGTTTCAACACTGCTCTATCAAAAGAAAGGTTCAACGATGTGAATTGAACACACACTTCACAGAGGAGTTTCAGAGAATGCTTCTGTCTAGTTTTTAAGTGAAGATATTCCTTTTTCCCACATAGGCAACAAAGCGCTCCAAACGAATACTTGTGGATTCTACAAAAAGTGTGTTTCAACACTGCTCTATCAAAAGAAAGTTTCAAGTCTGTGAGTCGAACGCACACATCACAAAGAACCTTCTGAGAATGCTTGGGTCTACTTTTTATGTGAAGATACCCGTTTCCAACGAATAACTCAAAGAGTTCCAAATATACACAATCAGATACTACAAAAGGAGTGTTTCATTCCTCCTCTGTCAAAAGACAGTTTCAACTCTGTTAGTTGAATGCACACATCTCAATGAAGTTCCTGAGAAGGCTTCTGCCTAGTTTTTTGTGAAGATAGTCCCTTTTCCACCATGGGCTTCAAAGCGCTCCAAATGAAAACTTGCAGGTCCTACCAAAAGACTGATTCAAAACGGCTCTATCAAAAGAACGGTTCCACTCTGCTAGGTGAACGCACACATCACAAGAAGTTTCTGAGAATGCTTCTGTTTCGTTTGTATGTGAAGATATTTCCTTTTCCATCATACTACACGAATCGCTCCAAATATCCACCTGCAGACGTTACAAAAAGACTGTTTCAAAACTGCTCTCTCAAAAGGAAGGTTCAACTCTGTGAGTTGAGTGCACACATCACAATGGAGTTTCTGAGAATACTTCTGTCTACTTTGTATGTGAAGGTATTTCCTTTTCCACCTGAGGCCCCAAGTCACTACAAATATCCACTTGCAGATACTACAAAAAGACTGTTTCAAAACCTCCCTCTCCAAAGGAAAGTTCAAATCTGTCGGTTGAATGCACACATCACAAAGCAGTTTCTGAGAATGCTTCTGTCTAGTTTGTATGTGAAGATATTTCCTTTTCCATCATAGGCTTCAAATCGCTCCAAATATCCACTTGCAGATACTACAAAAGACCGTTTCAACACTGCTCTCTCAAAAGGAAGGTTCAACTCTGTGGGTTGAATGCACACATCACAAAGCAGTTTCTGAGAATGCTTCTGTCTAGTTTGTATGTGAAGATATTTCCTTTTCCATCATAGGCCTCAAATCGCTCCAAATATCCAATTGAAGATACTACAAAAAGACCGTTTCAACACTGCTCTCTCAAATGGAAGGTTCAACTCTGTGAGTTGAATGCACACATCACAAAGCAGTTTCTGAGAATGCTTCTGTCTAGTTTGTATGTGAAGATATGCCTTTTACAACGTATTCCTCAAGGAGCTCCCAATATCCACAAGCAGATTCTACAGAAGCAGTGTTTCAAACCTGCTCTGTCAAAGGAAAGTTTCAACTCTGTGAATTGAACACACACATCACAAAGCAGTTTCTAAGAATGCTTCTGTCTAGTTTTTAAGAGAAGATAATCATTTTTCCACCATAGGCAACAAATCTCTCCAAATGAACACTACCAGGTTCTACAAAAAGTGTGTTTCAACACTGCTCTAACAAAAGTAAGGATCAAGACTTTGAGTTAAATGCACACATCACAAAGCAGTTTCTGAGAAAGCTTCTGTCTAGTTTTTATTTGAAGGTACTTCCTTTTCCTTCTTAGACCTCAAATCGCTCCAAATATCCACTTGCAGATACTACAAAAAGACTGTTTCAAAACCGCTCTCTCAAAAGGAAGGTTCAACTCTGTGTGTTGAATGCACATATTACAAAGCAGTTCCTGAGAATGCTTCTGTCTATTTTTTAGGTGAAGATATCACTTTTTCCAACATAGGCCACAAAGCATTTGAAATGAACACTTGCAGATTCTACAAAATGTTTGTTTCAACACTGCTGTATCAAAAGAAAGGTTCAACAATGTGAATTGAACACACCCATCACAAAGGAGTTTCTGAGAATGCTTCTGTCTAGTTTTTATGTGAAGATATTTCTTTTTCCAACATAGGCAACAAAGCACTCCAAAGAACACTTGTAGATTATACAAAAAGTGTGTTTCAACACTGCTCTACCTAAAGGAAGTTTCAAGTCTGTGACTTAAATGCACACATCACAAAGCAGTTTCTGACAATGCTTCTGTCTAGTTTGTATGTGAAGATATTTCATTTTCCACCATACTCCACAAATCGCTCCAAATATCCACTTGCAAATACTACAAAAAGACTGTTTCAAAACTTCTCTCTCAAAAGGAAGGTTCAACTCTGTGAGTTGAATGCACACATCACAAGGCAGTTTCCGAAAATGCTTCAGTCTAGTTTTTTATTTGAAGGTATTTCCTTTTCCTTCTTCGGCCTCAAATCACTGCAAATATCCACTTGCAGATACTACAAAAAGACTGTTTCAAAACCGCTCTCTCAAAAGGAAGGTTCAACACTGTGAGTTGAATGCACATGTTACGAAGCAGTTTCTGGAATGCTTCTGTCTATTTTTCAGGTGAAGATATCACTTTTTCCAACATACGCACAAAAGAACTCGAAATGGACACTTGCAGATTCTACAAAAAGTATGTTTCAACACTGCTCCATCAAAAGAAAGGTTCAACGATGTGAATTGAGCACACACTTCACAGAGGAGTTTCAGAGAATGCTTCTGTCTAGTTTTTAAGTGAAGATATTCCTTTTTCCCACATAGGCAACAAAGCGCTCCAAATGAATACTTGTGGATTCTACAAAAACTCTGTTTCAACACTGCTCTATCAAAAGAAAGTTTCAAGTCTGTGAGTTGAATGCACACATCACAAAGGACCTTCTGAGAATGCTTGGGTCTACTTTTTATGTGAAGATACCCGTTTCCAACGAATAACTCAAAGAGTTCCAAATATACACAATCAGATACTACAAAAGGAGTGTTTCATTCCTCCTCTGTCAAAAGACAGTTTCAACTCTGTTAGTTGAATGCACACATCTCAATGAAGTTCCTGAGAAGGCTTCTGCCTAGTTTTTTGTGAAGATGATAGTCCCTTTTCCACCATGGGCTTCAAAGTGCTCCAAATGAAAACTTGCAGGTCCTACCAAAAGACTGATTCAAAACTGCTCTATCAAAAGAACGGTTCCACTCTGTTAGGTGAATGCACACATCACAAGAAGTTTCTGTGAATGCTTCTGTTTAGTTTGTATGTGAAGATATTTCCTTTTCCATCATACTACACGAATCGCTCCAAATATCCACCTGCAGACGTTACAAAAAGACTGTTTCAAAACTGCTCTCTCAAAAGGAAGGTTCAACTCTGTGAGTTGAGTGCACACATCACAATGGAGTTTCTGAGAATACTTCTGTCTACTTTGTATGTGAAGGTATTTCCTTTTCCACCTGAGGCCCCAAGTCACTACAAATATCCACTTGCAGATACTACAAAAAGACTGTTTCAAAACCTCCCTCTCAAAAGGACAGTTCAAATCTGTCGGTTGAATGCACACATCACAAAGCAGTTTCTGAGAATGCTTCTGTCTAGTTTGTATGTGAAGATATTTCCTTTTCCATCATAGGCCTCAAATCGCTCCAAATATCCACTTGCAGATGCTACAAAAGACCGTTTCAACACTGCTCTCTCAAAAGGAAGGTTCAACTCTGTGGGTTGAATGCCCACATCACAAAGCAGTTTCTAAGAATGCTTCTGTCTAGTTTTTAAGAGAAGATAATCCTTTTTCCACCATAGGCAACAAATCTCTCCAAATGAACACTACCAGGTTCTACAAAAAGTGTGTTTCAACACTGCTCTAACAAAAGTAAGGATCAAGACTTTGAGTTAAATGCACACATCACAAAGCAGTTTCTGAGAAAGCTTCTGTCTAGTTTTTATTTGAAGGTACTTCCTTTTCCTTCTTAGACCTCAAATCGCTCCAAATATCCACTTGCAGATACTACAAAAAGACTGTTTCAAAACCGCTCTCTCAAAAGGAAGGTTCAACTCTGTGAGTTGAATGCACATATTACAAAGCAGTTCCTGAGAATGCTTCTGTCTATTTTTTACGTGAAGATATCACTTTTTCCAACAGAGGCCACAAAGCATTTGAAATGAACCCTTGCAGATTCTACAAAATGTTTGTTTCAACACTGCTGTATCAAAAGAAAGGTTCAACAATGTGAATTGAACAAACCCATCACAAAGGAGTTTCTGAGAATGCTTCTGTCTAGTTTTTATGTGAAGATATTTCTTTTTCCAACATAGGCAACAAAGCACTCCAAAGAACACTTGTAGATTATACAAAAAGTGTGTTTCAACACTGCTTTATCTAAAGGAAGTTTCACGTCTGTGACTTAAATGCACACATCACAAAGCAGTTTCTGAGAATGCTTCTGTCTAGTTTGTATGTGAAGATATTTCATTTTCCACCACACTCCACAAATCGCTCCAAATATCCACTTGCAAATACTACAAAAAGACTGTTTCAAAACTTCTCTCTCAAAAGGAAGGTTCAACTCTGTGAGTTGAATGCACACATCACAAGGCAGTTTCTGAAAATGTTTCCGTCTAGTTTTTTATTTGAAGGTATTTCCTTTTCCTTCTTCGGCCTCAAATCACTGCAAATATCCACTTGCAGATACTACAAAAAGACTGTTTCAAAACCGCTCTCTCAAAAGGAAGGTTCAACACTGTGAGTTGAATGCACATGTTACAAAGCAGTTTCTGGAATGCTTCTGTCTATTTTTCAGGTGAAGATATCACTTTTTCCAACATACGCACAAAAGAACTCGAAATGGACACTTGCAGATTCTACAAAAAGTATGTTTCAACACTGCTCCATCAAAAGAAAGGTTCAACGATGTGAATTGAACACACACTTCACAGAGGAGTTTCAGAGAATGCTTCTGTCTAGTTTTTAAGTGAAGATATTCCTTTTTCCCACATAGGCAACAAAGCGCTCCAAATGAATACTTGTGGATTCTACAAAAACTGTGTTTCAACACTGCTCTATCAAAAGAAAGTTTCAAGTCTGTGAGTTGAACGCACACATCACAAAGGACCTTCTGAGAATGCTTGGGTCTACATTTTAGGTGAAGATACCCGTTTCCAACGAATAACTCAAAGAGTTCCAAATATACACAATCAGATACTACAAAAGGAGTGTTTCATTCCTCCTCTGTCAAAAGACAGTTTCAACTCTGTTAGTTGAATGCACACATCTCAATGAAGTTCCTGAGAAGGCTTCTGCCTAGTTTTTTGTGAAGATAGTCCCTTTTCCACCATGGGCTTCAAAGCGTTCCAAATGAAAACTTGCAGGTCCTACCAAAAGACTGATTCAAAACTGCTCTATCAAAAGAACGGTTCCACTCTGTTAGGTGAATGCACACATCACAAGAAGTATCTGAGAATGCTTCTGTTTAGTTTGTATGTGAAGATATTTCCTTTTCCATCATAGTACTCGAATCGCTCCAAATATCCACATGCAGACGTTACAAAAAGACTGTTTCAAAACTGCTCTCTCAAAAGGAAGGTTCAACTCTGTGAGTTGAGTGCACACATCACAATGGAGTTTCTGAGAATACTTCTGTCTACTTTGTATGTGAAGGTATTTCCTTTTCCACCTGAGGCCCCAAGTCACTACAAATATCCACTTGCAGATACTACAAAAAGACTGTTTCAAAACCTCCCTCTCCAAAGGAAAGTTCAAATCTGTCGGTTGAATGCACACATCACAAAGCAGTTTCTGAGAATGCTTCTGTCTAGTTTGTATGTGAAGATATTTCCTTTTCCATCATAGGCCTCAAATCGCTCCAAATATCCACTTGCAGATACTACAAAAGACCGTTTCAACACTGCTCTCTCAAAAGGAAGGTTCAACTCTGTGGGTTGAATGCACACATCACAAAGCAGTTTCTGAGAATGCTTCTGTCTAGTTTGTATGTGAAGATATTTCCTTTTCCATCATAGGCCTCAAATCGCTCCAAATATCCACTTGCAGATACTACAAAAAGACTGTTTCAACACTGCTCTCTCAAATGGAAGGTTCAACTCTGTGAGTTGAATGCACACATCACAAAGCAGTTTCTGAGAATGCTTCTGTCTAGTTTGTATGTGAAGATATGCCTTTTACAACGTATTCCTCAAAGAGCTCCCAATATCCACAAGCAGATTCTACAAAAGCAGTGTTTCAAAACTGCTCTATCAAAGGAAAGTTTCAACTCTGTGAATTGAACACACACATCACAAAGCAGTTTCTAAGAATGCTTCTGTCTAGTTTTTAAGAGAAGATAATCCTTTTTCCACCATAAGCAACAAATCTCTCCAAATGAACACTACCAGGTTCTACAAAAAGTGTGTTTCAACACTGCTCTAACAAAAGTAAGGATCAAGACTTTGAGTTAAATGCACACATCACAAAGCAGTTTCTGAGAAAGCTTCTGTCTAGTTTTAATTTGAAGGTACTTCCTTTTCCTTCTTAGACCTCAAATCGCTCCAAATATCCACTTGCAGATACTACAAAAAGACTGTTTCAAAACCGCTCTCTCAAAAGGAAGGTTCAACTCTGTGAGTTGAATGCACATATTACAAAGCAGTTCCTGAGAATGCTTCTGTCTATTTTTTAGGTGAAGATATCACTTTTTCCAACATAGGCCACAAAGCATTTGAAATGAACACTTGCAGATTCTACAAAATGTTTGTTTCAACACTGCTGTATCAAAAGAAAGGTTCAACAATGTGAATTGAACACACCCATCACAAAGGAGTTTCTCAGAATGCTTCTGTCTAGTTTTTATGTGAAGATAGTTCTTTTTCCAACATAGGCAACAAAGCACTCCAAAGAACACTTGTAGATTATACAAAAAGTGTGTTTCAACACTGCTCTACCTAAAGGAAGTTTCAAGTCTGTGACTTAAATGCACACATCACAAAGCAGTTTCTGAGAATGCTTCTGTCTAGTTTGTATGTGAAGATATTTCATTTTCCACCATACTCCACAAATCGCTCCAAATATCCACTTGCAAATACTACAAAAAGACTGTTTCAAAACTTCTCTCTCAAAAGGAAGGTTCAACTCTGTGAGTTGAATGCACACATCACAAGGCAGTTTCTGAAAATGCTTCCGTCTAGTTTTTTATTTGAAGGTATTTCCTTTTCCTTCTTCGGCCTCAAATCACTGCAAATATCCACTTGCAGATACTACAAAAAGACTGTTTCAAAACCGCTCTCTCAAAAGGAAGGTTCAACACTGTGAGTTGAATGCACATGTTACAAAGCAGTTTCTGGAATGCTTCTGTCTATTTTTCAGGTGAAGATATCACTTTTTCCAGCATACGCACAAAAGAACTCGAAATGGACACTTGCAGATTCTACAAAAAGTATGTTTCAACACTGCTCTATCAAAAGAAAGGTTCAACGATGTGAATTGAACACACACTTCACAGAGGAGTTTCAGAGAATGCTTCTGTCTAGTTTTTAAGTGAAGATATTCCTTTTTCCCACATAGGCAACAAAGCGCTCCAAAGGAATACTTGTGGATTCTACAAAAAGTGTGTTTCAACACTGCTCTATCAAAAGAAAGTTTCAAGTCTGTGAGTTGAACGCACGCATCACAAAGAACCTTCTGAGAATGCTTGGGTCTACTTTTTATGTGAAGATACCCGTTTCCAACGAATAACTCAAAGAGTTCCAAATACACACAATCAGATACTACAAAAGGAGTGTTTCATTCCTCCTCTGTCAAAAGACAGTTTCAACTCTGTTAGTTGAATGCACACATCTCAATGAAGTTCCTGAGAAGGCTTCTGCCTAGTTTTTTGTGAAGATAGTCCCTTTTCCACCATGGGCTTCAAAGCACTCCAAATGAAAACTTGCAGGTCCTACCAAAAGACTGATTCAAAACTGCTCTATCAAAAGAACGGTTCCACTCTGTTAGGTGAATGCACACATCACAAGAAGTTTCTGAGAATGCTTCTGTTTAGTTTCTATGTGAAGATATTTCCTTTTCCATCATACTACACGAATCGCTCCAAATATCCACCTGCAGACGTTACAAAAAGACTGTTTCAAAACGGCTCTCTCAAAAGGAAGGTTCAACTCTGTGAGTTGAGTGCACACATCACAATGGAGTTTCTGAGAATACTTCTGTCTAGTTTGTATGTGAAGGTATTTCCTTTTCCACCTGAGGCCCCAAGTCACTACAAATATCCACTTGCAGATACTACAAAAAGACTGTTTCAAAACCTCCCTCTCCAAAGGAAAGTTCAAATCTGTCGGTTGAATGCACACATCACAAAGCAGTTTCTGAGAATGCTTCTGTCTAGTTTGTATGTGAAGATATTTCCTTTTCCATCATAGGCCTCAAATCGCTCCAAATATCCACTTGCAGATACTACAAAAGACCGTTTCAACACTGCTCTCTCAAAAGGAAGGTTCAACTCTGTGGGTTGAATGCACACATCATGAAGCAGTTTCTGAGAATGCTTCTGTCTAGTTTGTATGTGAAAATATTTCCTTTTCCATCATAGGCCTCAAATCGCTCCAAATATCCACTTGAAGATACTACAAAAAGACTGTTTCAACACTCCTCTCTCAAATGGAAGGTTCAACTACTGTGAGTTGAATGCACACATCACAAAGCAGTTTCTGAGAATGCTTCTGTCTAGTTTGTATGTGAAGATATGCCTTTTACAACGTATTCCTCAAGGAGCTCCCAATATCCACAAGCAGATTCTACAGAAGCAGTGTTTCAAACCTGCTCTGTCAAAGGAAAGTTTCAACTCTGTGAATTGAACACACACATCACAAAGCAGTTTCTAAGAATGCTTCTGTCTAGTTTTTAAGAGAAGATAATCATTTTTCCACCATAGGCAACAAATCTCTCCAAATGAACACTACCAGGTTCTACAAAAAGTGTGTTTCAACACTGCTCTAACAAAAGTAAGGATCAAGACTTTGAGTTAAATGCACACATCACAAAGCAGTTTCTGAGAAAGCTTCTGTCTAGTTTTTATTTGAAGGTACTTCCTTTTCCTTCTTAGACCTCAAATCGCTCCAAATATCCACTTGCAGATACTACAAAAAGACTGTTTCAAAACCGCTCTCTCAAAAGGAAGGTTCAACTCTGTGAGTTGAATGCACATATTACAAAGCAGTTCCTGAGAATGCTTCTGTCTATTTTTTAGGTGAAGATATCACTTTTTCCAACATAGGCCGCAAAGCATTTGAAATGAACCCTTGCAGATTCTACAAAATGTTTGTTTCAACACTGCTGTATCAAAAGAAAGGTTCAACAATGTGAATTGAACAAACCCATCACAAAGGAGTTTCTGAGAATGCTTCTGTCTAGTTTTTATGTGAAGATATTTCTTTTTCCAACATAGGCAACAAAGCACTCCAAAGAACACTTGTAGATTATACAAAAAGTGTGTTTCAACACTGCTCTACCTAAAGGAAGTTTCAAGTCTGTGACTTAAATGCACACATCACAAAGCAGTTTCTGACAATGCTTCTGTCTAGTTTGTATGTGAAGATATTTCATTTTCCACCATACTCCACAAATCGCTCCAAATATCCACTTGCAAATACTACAAAAAGACTGTTTCAAAACTTCTCTCTCAAAAGGAAGGTTCAACTCTGTGAGTTGAATGCACACATCACAAGGCAGTTTCTGAAAATGCTTCCGTCTAGTTTTTTATTTGAAGGTATTTCCTTTTCCTTCTTCGGCCTCAAATCACTGCAAATATCCACTTGCAGATACTACAAAAAGACTGTTTCAAAACCGCTCTCTCAAAAGGAAGGTTCAACACTGTGAGTTGAATGCACATGTTACAAAGCAGTTTCTGGAATGCTTCTGTCTATTTTTCAGGTGAAGATATCACTTTTTCCAGCATACGCACAAAAGAACTCGAAATGGACACTTGCAGATTCTACAAAAAGTATGTTTCAACACTGCTCTATCAAAAGAAAGGTTCAACGATGTGAATTGAACACACACTTCACAGAGGAGTTTCAGAGAATGCTTCTGTCTAGTTTTTAAGTGAAGATATTCCTTTTTCCCACATAGGCAACAAAGCGCTCCAAAGGAATACTTGTGGATTCTACAAAAAGTGTGTTTCAACACTGCTCTATCAAAAGAAAGTTTCAAGTCTGTGAGTTGAACGCACACATCACAAAGAACCTTCTGAGAATGCTTGGGTCTACTTTTTATGTGAAGATACCCGTTTCCAACGAATAACTCAAAGAGTTCCAAATACACACAATCAGATACTACAAAAGGAGTGTTTCATTCCTCCTCTGTCAAAAGACAGTTTCAACTCTGTTAGTTGAATGCACACATCTCAATGAAGTTCCTGAGAAGGCTTCTGCCTAGTTTTTTGTGAAGATAGTCCCTTTTCCACCATGGGCTTCAAAGCACTCCAAATGAAAACTTGCAGGTCCTACCAAAAGACTGATTCAAAACTGCTCTATCAAAAGAACGGTTCCACTCTGTTAGGTGAATGCACACATCACAAGAAGTTTCTGAGAATGCTTCTGTTTAGTTTGTATGTGAAGATATTTCCTTTTCCATCATACTACTCGAATCGCTCCAAATATCCACATGCAGACGTTACGAAAAGACTGTTTCAAAACTGCTCTCTCAAAAGGAAGGTTCAACTCTGTGAGTTGAGTGCACACATCACAATGGAGTTTCTGAGAATACTTCTGTCTACTTTGTATGTGAAGGTATTTCCTTTTCCACCTGAGGCCCCAAGTCACTACAAATATCCACTTGCAGATACTACAAAAAGACTGTTTCAAAACCTCCCTCTCCAAAGGAAAGTTCAAATCTGTCGGTTGAATGCACACATCACAAAGCAGTTTCTGAGAATGCTTCTGTCTAGTTTGTATGTGAAGATATTTCCTTTTCCATCATAGGCCTCAAATCGCTCCAAATATCCACTTGCAGATACTACAAAAGACCGTTTCAACACTGCTCTCTCAAAAGGAAGGTTCAACTCTGTGGGTTGAATGCACACATCACAAAGCAGTTTCTGAGAATGCTTCTGTCTAGTTTGTATGTGAAGATATTTCCTTTTCCATCATAGACCTCAAATCGCTCCAAATATCCAATTGAAGATACTACAAAAAGACCGTTTCAACACTGCTCTCTCAAATGGAAGGTTCAACTCTGTGAGTTGAATGCACACATCACAAAGCAGTTTCTGAGAATGCTTCTGTCTAGTTTGTATGTGAAGATATGCCTTTTACAACGTATTCCTCAAGTAGCTCCCAATATCCACAAGCAGATTCTACAGAAGCAGTGTTTCAAACCTGCTCTGTCAAAGGAAAGTTTCAACTCTGTGAATTGAACACACACATCACAAAGCAGTTTCTAAGAATGCTTCTGTCTAGTTTTTAAGAGAAGATAATCCTTTTTCCACCATAGGCAACAAATCTCTCCAAATGAACACTACCAGGTTCTACAAAAAGTGTGTTTCAACACTGCTCTAACAAAAGTAAGGATCAAGACTTTGAGTTAAATGCACACATCACAAAGCAGTTTCTGAGAAAGCTTCTGTCTAGTTTTTATTTGAAGGTACTTCCTTTTCCTTCTTAGACCTCAAATCGCTCCAAATATCCACTTGCAGATACTACAAAAAGACTGTTTCAAAACCGCTCTCTCAAAAGGAAGGTTCAACTCTGTGAGTTGAATGCACATATTACAAAGCAGTTCCTGAGAATGCTTCTGTCTATTTCTTAGGTGAACATATCACTTTTTCCAACATAGGCCACAAAGCATTTGAAATGAACACTTGCAGATTCTACAAAATGTTTGTTTCAACCCTGCTGTATCAAAAGAAAGGTTCAACAATGTGAATTGAACAAACCCATCACAAAGGAGTTTCTGAGAATGCTTCTGTCTAGTTTTTATGTGAAGATATTTCTTTTTCCAACATAGGCAACAAAGCACTCCAAAGAACACTTGTAGATTATACAAAAAGTGTGTTTCAACACTGCTCTACCTAAAGGAAGTTTCAAGTCTGTGACTTAAATGCACACATCACAAAGCAGTTTCTGAGAATGCTTCTGTCTACTTTGTATGTGAAGGTATTTCATTTTCCACCATACTCCACAAATCGCTCCAAATATCCACTTGCAAATACTACAAAAAGACTGTTTCAAAACTTCTCTCTCAAAAGGAAGGTTCAACTCTGTGAGTTGAATGCACACATCACAAGGCAGTTTCTGAAAATGCTTCCGTCTAGTTTTTTATTTGAAGGTATTTCCTTTTCCTTCTTCGGCCTCAAATCACTGCAAATATCCACTTGCAGATACTACAAAAAGACTGTTTCAAAACCGCTCTCTCAAAAGGAAGGTTCAACAGTGTGAGTTGAATGCATATGTTACAAAGCAGTTTCTGGAATGCTTCTGTCTATTTTTCAGGTGAAGATATCACTTTTTCCAACATACGCACAAAAGAACTCGAAATGGACACTTGCAGATTCTACAAAAAGTATGTTTCAACACTGCTCTATCAAAAGAAAGGTTCAACGATGTGAATTGAACACACACTTCACAGAGGAGTTTCAGAGAATGCTTCTGTCTAGTTTTTAAGTGAAGATATTCCTTTTTCCCACATAGGCAACAAAGCGCTCCAAACGAATACTTGTGGATTCTACAAAAAGTGTGTTTCAACACTGCTCTATCAAAAGAAAGTTTCAAGTCTGTGAGTTGAACGCACACATCACAAAGAACCTTCTGAGAATGCTTGGGTCTACTTTTTATGTGAAGATACCCGTTTCCAACGAATAACTCAAAGAGTTCCAAATATACACAATCAGATAGTACAAAAGGAGTGTTTCATTCCTCCTCTGTCAAAAGACAGTTTCAACTCTGTTAGTTGAATGCACACATCTCAATGAAGTTCCTGAGAAGGCTTCTGCCTAGTTTTTTGTGAAGATATTCCCTTTTCCACCATGGGCTTCAAAGCGCTCCAAATGAAAACATGCAGGTCCTACCAAAAGACTGATTCAAAACTGCTCTATCAAAAGAACGGTTCCACTCTGTTAGGTGAATGCACACATCACAAGAAGTTTCTGAGAATGCTTCAGTTTAGTTTGTATGTGAAGATATTTCCTTTTCCATCATAGTACTCGAATCGCTCCAAATATCCACCTGCAGACGTTACAAAAAGACTGTTTCAAAACTCCTCTCTCAAAAGGAAGGTTCAACTCTGTGAGTTGAGTGCACACATCACAATGGAGTTTCTGAGAATACTTCTGTCTAGTTTGCATGTGAAGGTATTTCCTTTTCCATCTGAGGCCCCAAGTCACTACAAATATCCACTTGCAGATACTACAAAAAGACTGTTTCAAAACCTCCCTCTCAAAAGGAAAGTTCAAATCTGTCGGTTGAATGCACACATCACAAAGCAGTTTCTGAGAATGCTTCTGTCAATTTTGTATGTGAAGTTATTTCCTTTTCCATCATAGGCCTCAAATCGCTCCAAATATCCACTTGCAGATACTACAAAAGACCGTTTCAACACTGCTCTCTCAAAAGGAAGGTTCAACTCTGTGGGTTGAATGCACACATCACAAAGCAGTTTCTGAGAATGCTTCTGTCTAGTTTGTATGTGAAGATATTTCCTTTTCCATCATAGGCCTCAAATCGCTCCAAATATCCAATTGAAGATACTACAAAAAGACTGTTTCAACACTGCTCTCTCAAATGGAAGGTTCAACTCTGTGAGTTGAATGCACACATCACAAAGCAGTTTCTGAGAATGCTTCTGTCTAGTTTGTATGTGAAGATATGCCTTTTACAACGTATTCCTCAAGGAGCTCCCAATATCCACAAGCAGATTCTACAGAAGCAGTGTTTCAAACCTGCTCTGTCAAAGGAAAGTTTCAACTCTGTGAATTGAACACACACATCACAAAGCAGTTTCTAAGAATGCTTCTGTCTAGTTTTTAAGAGAAGATAATCCTTTTTCCACCATAGGCAACAAATCTCTCCAAATGAACACTACCAGGTTCTACAAAAAGTGTGTTTCAACACTGCTCTAACAAAACTAAGGATCAAGACTTTGAGTTAAATGCACACATCACAAAGCAGTTTCTGAGAAAGCTTCTGTCTAGTTTTTATTTGAAGGTACTTCCTTTTCCTTCTTAAACCTCAAATCGCTCCAAATATCCACTTGCAGATACTACAAAAAGATTGTTTCAAAACCGCTCTCTCAAAAGGAAGGTTCAACTCTGTGAGTTGAATGCACATATTACAAAGCAGTTCCTGAGAATGCTTCTGTCTATTTTTTGGTGAACATATCACTTTTTCCAACATAGGCCACAAAGCATTTGAAATGAACCCTTGCAGATTCTACAAAATGTTTGTTTCAACACTGCTGTATCAAAAGAAAGGTTCAACAATGTGAATTGAACAAACCCATCACAAAGGAGTTTCTGAGAATGCTTCTGTCTAGTTTTTATGTGAAGATATTTCTTTTTCCAACATAGGCAACAAAGCACTCCAAAGAACACTTGTAGATTATACAAAAAGTGTGTTTCAACACTGCTCTACCTAAAGGAAGTTTCAAGTCTGTGACTTAAATGCACACATCACAAAGCAGTTTCTGAGAATGCTTCTGTCTACTTTGTATGTGAAGATATTTCATTTTCCACCATACTCCACAAATCGCTCCATATATCCACTTGCAAATACTGCAAAAAGACTGTTTCAAAACTTCTCTCTCAAAAGGAAGGTTCAACTCTGTGAGTTGAATGCACACATCACAAGGCAGTTTCTGAAAATGCTTCCGTCTAGTTTTTTATTTGAAGGTATTTCCTTTTCCTTCTTCGGCCTCAAATCACTGCAAATATCCACTTGCAGATACTACAAAAAGACTGTTTCAAAACCGCTCTCTCAAAAGGAAGGTTCAACACTGTGAGTTGAATGCACATGTTACAAAGCAGTTTCTGGAATGCTTCTGTCTATTTTTCAGGTGAAGATATCACTTTTTCCAACATACGCACAAAAGAACTCGAAATGGACACTTGCAGATTCTACAAAAAGTATGTTTCAACACTGCTCCATCAAAAGAAAGGTTCAACGATGTGAATTGAACACACACTTCACAGAGGAGTTTCAGAGAATGCTTCTGTCTAGTTTTCAAGTGAAGATATTCCTTTTTCCCACATAGGCAACAAAGCGCTCCAAATGAATACTTGTGGATTCTACAAAAACTGTGTTTCAACACTGCTCTATCAAAAGAAAGTTTGAAGTCTGTGAGTTGAACGCACACATCACAAAGGACCTTCTGAGAATGCTTGGGTCTACTTTTTATGTGAAGATACCCGTTTCCAACGAATAACTCAAAGAGTTCCAAATATACACTATCAGATACTACGAAAGGAGTGATTCATTACTGCTCTGTCATAAGACAGTTTCAACTCTGTTAGTTGAATGCACACATCTCAATGAAGTTCCTGAGAAGGCTTTGGTGTAGGTTTTACGTGAATATATTTACTTTTCCACCTTAGGCTTCAAAGAGCTCCAAATGAACACATGCAGATCCTACAAAAAGACTGTTTCAAAACTGGTCTGACAAAAAAACGGTTCCACTCTGTGAGGTGAGTGCACACATCAGAAAGCAGTTTCTGGGAATGCTTCTGTTTAGTTTGTATGTGAAGATATTTCCTTTTCCATCATACTACACGAATCGCTCCAAATATCCACCTGCAGACGTTACAAAAAGACTGTTTCAAAACTGCTCTCTCAAAAGGAAGGTTCAACTCTGTGAGTTGAGTGCACACATCACAATGGAGTTTCTGAGAATACTTCTGTCTACTTTGTATGTGAAAGTATTTCCTTTTCCACCTGAGGCCCCAAGTCACTACAAATATCCACTTGCAGATACTACAAAAAGACTGTTTCAAAACCTCCCTCTCCAAAGGAAAGTTCAAATCTGTCGGTTGAATGCACACATCACAAAGCACTTTCTGAGAATGCTTCTGTCTAGTTTGTATGTGAAGATATTTCCTTTTCCATCATAGGCTTCAAATCGCTCCAAATATCCACTTGCAGATACTACAAAAGACCGTTTCAACACTGCTCTCTCAAAAGGAAGGTTCAACTCTGTGGGTTGAATGCACACATCACAAAGCAGTTTCTGAGAATGCTTCTGTCTAGTTTGTATGTGAAGATATTTCCTTTTCCATCATAGGCCTCAAATCGCTCCAAATATCCAATTGAAGATACTACAAAAAGATCGTTTCAACACTGCTCTCTCAAATGGAAGGTTCAACTCTGTGAGTTGAATGCACACATCACAAAGCAGTTTCTGAGAATGCTTCTGTTTAGTTTGTATGTGAGGATATGCCTTTTACAATGTATTCCTCAAGGAGCTCCCAATATCCACAAGCAGATTCTACAGAAGCAGTGTTTCAAACCTGCTCTGTCAAAGGAAAGTTTCAACTCTGTGAATTGAACACACACATCACAAAGCAGTTTCTAAGAATGCTTCTGTCTAGTTTTTAAGAGAAGATAATCCTTTTTCCACCATAGGCAACAAATCTCTCTAAATGAACACTACCAGGTTCTACAAAAAGTGTGTTTCAACACTGCTCTAACAAAAGTAAGGATCAAGACTTTGAGTTAAATGCACACATCACAAAGCAGTTTCTGAGAAAGCTTCTGTCTAGTTTTTATTTGAAGGTACTTCCTTTTCCTTCTTAGACCTCAAATCGCTCCAAATATCCACTTGCAGATACTACAAAAAGACTGTTTCAAAACCGCTCTCTCAAAAGGAAGGTTCAACTCTGTGAGTTGAATGCACATATTACAAAGCAGTTCCTGAGAATGCTTCTGTCTATTTTTTAGGTGAAGATATCACTTTTTCCAACATAGGCCACAAAGCATTTGAAATGAACACTTGCAGATTCTACAAAATGTTTGTTTCAACCCTGCTGTATCAAAAGAAAGGTTCAACAATGTGAATTGAACAAACCCATCACAAAGGAGTTTCTGAGAATGCTTCTGTCTAGTTTTTATGTGAAGATATTTCTTTTTCCAACATAGGCAACAAAGCACTCCAAAGAACACTTGTAGATTATACAAAAAGTGTGTTTCAACACTGCTCTACCTAAAGGAAGTTTCAAGTCTGTGACTTAAATGCACACATCACAAAGCAGTTTCTGAGAATGCTTCTGTCTACTTTGTATGTGAAGGTATTTCATTTTCCACCATACTCCACAAATCGCTCCAAATATCCACTTGCAAATACTACAAAAAGACTGTTTCAAAACTTCTCTCTCAAAAGGAAGGTTCAACTCTGTGAGTTGAATGCACACATCACAAGGCAGTTTCTGAAAATGCTTCCGTCTAGTTTTTTATTTGAAGGTATTTCCTTTTCCTTCTTCGGCCTCAAATCACTGCAAATATCCACTTGCAGATACTACAAAAAGACTGTTTCAAAACCGCTCTCTCAAAAGGAAGGTTCAACACTGTGAGTTGAATGCACATGTTACAAAGCAGTTTCTGGAATGCTTCTGTCTATTTTTCAGGTGAAGATATCACTTTTTCCAACATACGCACAAAAGAACTCGAAATGGACACTTGCAGATTCTACAAAAAGTATGTTTCAACACTGCTCTATCAAAAGAAAGGTTCAACGATGTGAATTGAACACACACTTCACAGAGGAGTTTCAGAGAATGCTTCTGTCTAGTTTTTAAGTGAAGATATTCCTTTTTCCCACATAGGCAACAAAACGCTCCAAAGGAATACTTGTGGATTCTACAAAAAGTGTGTTTCAACACTGCTCTATCAAAAGAAAGTTTCAAGTCTGTGAGTTGAACGCACACATCACAAAGAACCTTCTGAGAATGCTTGGGTCTACTTTTTATGTGAAGATACCCGTTTCCAACGAATAACTCAAAGAGTTCCAAATACACACAATCAGATACTACAAAAGGAGTGTTTCATTCCTCCTCTGTCAAAAGACAGTTTCAACTCTGTTAGTTGAATGCACACATCTCAATGAAGTTCCTGAGAAGGCTTCTGCCTAGTTTTTTGTGAAGATATTCCCTTTTCCACCATAGGCTTCAAAGCGCTCCAAATGAAAACTTGCAGGACCTACCAAAAGACTGATTCAAAACTGCTCTATCAAAAGAACGGTTCCACTCTGTTAGGTGAAGGCACACAACACAAGATGTTTCTGAGAATGCTTCTGTTTAGTTTGTATGTGAAGATATTTCCTTTTCCATCATACTACTCGAATCGCTCCAAATATCCACATGCAGACGTTACAAAAAGACTGTTTCAAAACTGCTCTCTCAAAAGGAAGGTTCAACTCTGTGAGTTGAGTGCACACATCACAATGGAGTTTCTGAGAATACTTCTGTCTACTTTGTATGTGAAGGTATTTCCTTTTCCACCTGAGGCCCCAAGTCACTACAAATATCCACTTGCAGATACTACAAAAAGACTGTTTCAAAACCTCCCTCTCCAAAGGAAAGTTCAAATCTGTCGGTTGAATGCACACATCACAAAGCAGTTTCTGAGAATGCTTCTGTGTAGTTTGTATGTGAAGATATTTCCTTTTCCATCATAGGCCTCAAATCGCTCCAAATATCCACTTGCAGATACTCCAAAAGACCGTTTCAACACTGCTCTCTCAAAAGGAAGGTTCAACTCTGTGGGTTGAATGCACACATCACAAAGCAGTTTCTGAGAATGCTTCTGTCTAGTTTGTATGTGAAGATATTTCCTTTTCCATCATAGGCCTCAAATCGCTCCAAATATCCACTTGCAGATACTACAAAAAGACTGTTTCAACACTGCTCTCTCAAATGGAAGGTTCAACTCTGTGAGTTGAATGCACACATCACAAAGCAGTTTCTAAGAATGCTTCTGTCTAGTTTTTAAGAGAAGATAATCCTTTTTCCACCATAGGCAAAAAGTCTCTCCAAATGAACACTACCAGTTTCTACAAAAAGTGTGTTTCAACACTGCTCTAACAAAAGTAAGGATCAAGACTTTGAGTTAAATGCGCACATCACAAAGCAGTTTCTGAGAAAGCTTCTGTCTAGTTTGTACGTGAAGATATTTCCTTTGCCATCATAGGCTTCACATCGCTCCAAATATCCACTTGCAGATACTACAAAAAGACTGTTTCAAAACTGCTCTCTCAAAAGGAAGGTTCAATTCTGTGAGTTGAATGCACACATCACAAAGCAGTTTCTGAGAATGCTTCTGTCTATTTTTTAGGTGAAGATATCACTTTTTCCAACATAGGCCACAAAGCATTTGAAATGAACCCTTGCAGATTCTACAAAATGTTTGTTTCAACACTGCTGTATCAAAAGAAAGGTTCAACAATGTGAATTGAACAAACCCATCACAAAGGAGTTTCTGAGAATGCTTCTGTCTAGTTTTTATGTGAAGATATTTCTTTTTCCAACATAGGCAACAAAGCACTCCAAAGTAACACTTGTAGATTATACAAAAAGTGTGTTTCAACACTGCTCTACCTAAAGGAAGTTTCAAGTCTGTGACTTAAATGCACACATCACAAAGCAGTTTCTGACAATGCTTCTGTCTAGTTTGTATGTGAAGATATTTCATTTTCCACCATACTCCACAAATCGCTCCAAATATCCACTTGCAAATACTACAAAAAGACTGTTTCAAAACTTCTCTCTCAAAAGGAAGGTTCAACTCTGTGAGTTGAATGCACACATCACAAGGCAGTTTCTGAAAATGCTTCCGTCTAGTTTTTTATTTGAAGGTATTTCCTTTTCCTTCTTCGGCCTCAAATCACTGCAAATATCCACTTGCAGATACTACAAAAAGACTGTTTCAAAACCGCTCTCTCAAAAGGAAGGTTCAACACTGTGAGTTGAATGCACATGTTACAAAGCAGTTTCTGGAATGCTTCTGTCTATTTTTCAGGTGAAGATATCACTTTTTCCAGCATACGCACAAAAGAACTCGAAATGGACACTTGCAGATTCTACAAAAAGTATGTTTCAACACTGCTCTATCAAAAGAAAGGTTCAACGATGTGAATTGAACACACACTTCACAGAGGAGTTTCAGAGAATGCTTCTCTCTAGTTTTTAAGAGAAGATAATTCTTTTTCCACCATAGGCAACAAATCTCTCCAAATGAACACTAGCAGGTTCTACAAAAAGTGTGTTTCAACACTGCTCTATCAAAAGAAATTTTCAAGTCTGTGAGTTGAACGCACACATCACAAACAACCTTCTGAGAATGCTTGGGTCTACTTTTTATGTGAAGATACCCGTTTCCAACGAATAACTCAAAGAGTTCCAAATACACACAATCAGATACTACAAAAGGAGTGTTTCATTCCTCCTCTGTCAAAAGACAGTTTCAACTCTGTTAGTTGAATGCACACATCTCAGTGAAGTTCCTGAGAAGGCTTCTGCCTAGTTTTTTGCGAAGATATTCCCTTTTCCACCATAGGCTTCAAAGCGCTCCAAATGAAAACTTGCAGGACCTACCAAAAGACTGATTCAAAACTGCTCTATCAAAAGAACGGTTCAACTCTGTTAGGTGAACGCGCACATCAGAAGACGTTTCTGAGAATGCTTCTGTTTAGTTTGTATGTGAAGATACTTCCTTTTCCATCATAGTACTCGAATCGCTCCAAATATCCACTTGCAGACATTACAAAAAGACTGTTTCAAAACTGCTCTCTCAAAAGGAAGGTTCAACTCTGTGAGTTGAGTGCACACATCACAATGGAGTTTCTGAGAATACTTCTGTCTACTTTGTATGTGAAGGTATTTCCTTTTCCACCTGAGGCCCCAAGTCACTACAAATATCCACTTGCAGATACTACAAAAAGACTGTTTCAAAACCTCCCTCTCCAAAGGAAAGTTCAAATCTGTCGGTTGAATGCACACATCACAAAGCAGTTTCTGAGAATGCTTCTGTCTAGTTTGTATGTGAAGATATTTCCTTTTCCATCATAGGCTTCAAATCGCTCCAAATATCCACTTGCAGATACTACAAAAGACCGTTTCAACACTGCTCTCTCAAAAGGAAGGTTCAACTCTGTGGGTTGAATGCACACATCACAAAGCAGTTTCTGAGAATGCTTCTGTCTAGTTTTTATGTGAAGATATTTCCTTTTCCATCATAGGCCTCAAATCGCTCCAAATATCTGCTTGCAGATACTACAAAAAGACTGTTTCAAAACTGCTCTCTCTGAAAAGGAAGGTTCAACTCTGTGAGTTGAATGCACACATCACAAAGCAGTTTCTGAGAATGCTTCTGTCTAGTTTGTATGTGAAGATATTTCCTTTTCCATCATAGGCCTCAAATCGCTCCAAATATCCACTTGCAGATGCTACAAAAGACCGTTTCAACACTGCTCTCTCAAAAGGAAGGTTCAACTCTGTGGGTTGAATGCCCACATCACAAAGCAGTTTCTAAGAATGCTTCTGTCTAGTTTTTAAGAGAAGATAATCCTTTTTCCACCATAGGCAACAAATCTCTCCAAATGAACACTACCAGGTTCTACAAAAAGTGTGTTTCAACACTGCTCTAACAAAAGTAAGGATCAAGACTTTGAGTTAAATGCACACATCACAAAGCAGTTTCTGAGAAAGCTTCTGTCTAGTTTTTATTTGAAGGTACTTCCTTTTCCTTCTTAGACCTCAAATCGCTCCAAATATCCACTTGCAGATACTACAAAAAGACTGTTTCAAAACTGCTCTCTCAAAAGGAAGGTTCAACTCTGTGAGTTGAATGCACATATTACAAAGCAGTTCCTGAGAATGCTTCTGCCTGTTTTTTAGGTGAAGGTATCACTTTTTCCAACATAGGCCACAAAGCATTTGAAATGAGCACTTGCAGATTCTACAAAATGTTTGTTTCAACACTGCTTTATCAAAAGAAAGGTTCAACAATGTGAATTGAACAAACCCATCACAAAGGAGTTTCTGAGAATGCTTCTGTCTAGTTTTTATGTGAAGATATTTCTTTTTCCAACATAGGCAACAAAGCACTCCAAAGAACACTTGTAGATTATACAAAAAGTGTGTTTCAACACTGCTCTATCTAAAGGAAGTTTCAAGTCCGTGAGTTAAATGCACACATCACAAAGTAGTTTCTGAGAATGCTTCTGTCTAGTTTGTATGTGGAGATATTTCATTTTAAACCATACTCCACCAATCGCTGCAAATATCCACTTGCAAATACTACAAAAAGACTGTTTCAAAACTTCTCTCTCAAAAGGAAGGTTCAACTCTGTGAGTTGAATGCACACATCACAAGGCAGTTTCTGAAAATGCTTCCGTCTAGTTTTTTATTTGAAGGTATTTCCTTTTCCTTCTTCGGCCTCAAATCACTGCAAATATCCACTTGCAGATACTACAAAAAGACTGTTTCAAAACCGCTCTCTCAAAAGGAAGGTTCAACACTGTGAGTTGAATGCACATGTTACAAAGCAGTTTCTGGAATGCTTCTGTCTATTTTTCAGGTGAAGATATCACTTTTTCCAACATACGCACAAAAGAACTCGAAATGGACACTTGCAGATTCTACAAAAAGTATGTTTCAACACTGCTCTATCAAAAGAAAGGTTCAACGATGTGAATTGAACACACACTTCACAGAGGAGTTTCAGAGAATGCTTCTGTCTAGTTTTTAAGTGAAGATATTCCTTTTTCCCACATAGGCAACAAAGCGCTCCAAACGAATACTTGTGGATTCTACAAAAAGTGTGTTTCAACACTGCTCTATCAAAAGAAAGTTTCAAGTCCTGTGAGTTGAACGCACACATCACAAAGAACCTTTCTGAGAATGCTTGGGTCTACTTTTTATGTGAAGATACCCGTTTCCAACGAATAACTCAAAGAGTTCCAAATACACACAATCAGATACTACAAAAGGAGTGTTTCATTCCTCCTCTGTCAAAAGACAGTTTCAACTCTGTTAGTTGAATGCACACATCTCAATGAAGTTCCTGAGAAGGCTTCTGCCTAGTTTTTTGTGAAGATAGTCCCTTTTCCACCATGGGCTTCAAAGCACTCCAAATGAAAACTTGCAGGTCCTACCAAAAGACTGATTCAAAACTGCTCTATCAAAAGAACGGTTCCACTCTGTTAGGTGAATGCACACATCACAAGAAGTTTCTGAGAATGCTTCTGTTTAGTTTGTATGTGAAGATATTTCCTTTTCCATCATAGTACTCGAATCGCTCCAAATATCCACTTGCAGACGTTACAAAAAGACTGTTTCAAAACTGCTCTGTCAAAAGGAAGGTTCAACTCTGTGAGTTCAGTGCACACATCACAATGGAGTTTCTGAGAATACTTCTGTCTAGTTTGTATCTGAAGGTATTTCCTTTTCCATCTGAGGCCCCAAGTCACTACAAATATCCACTTGCAGATACTACAAAAAGACTGTTTCAAAACCTCCCTCTCAAAAGGAAAGTTCAAATCTGTCGGTTGAATGCACACATCACAAAGCAGTTTCTGAGAATGCTTCTGTCTAGTCTGTATGTGAAGATATTTCCTTTTCCATCTTAGGCCTCAAATCGCTCCAAATATCCACTTGCAGATACTACAAAAGACCGTTTCAACACTGCTCTCTCAAAAGGAAGGTTCAACTCTGTGGGTTGAATGCACACATCACAAAGCAGTTTCTGAGAATGCTTCTGTCTAGTTTGTATGTGAAGATATTTCCTTTTCCATCATAGGCCTCAAATCGCTCCAAATATCCACTTGAAGATACTACAAAAAGACCGTTTCAACACTGCTCTCTCAAATGGAAGGTTCAACTCTGTGAGTTGAATGCACACATCACAAAGCAGTTTCTGAGAATGCTTCTGTCTAGTTTGTATGTGAAGATATGCCTTTTACAACGTATTCCTCAAGGAGCTCCCAATATCCACAAGCAGATTCTACAGAAGCAGTGTTTCAAACCTGCTCAGTCAAAGGAAAGTTTCAACTCTGTGAATTGAACACACACATCACAAAGCAGTTTCTAAGAATGCTTCTGTCTAGTTTTTAAGAGAAGATAATCCTTTTTCCACCATAGGCAACAAATCTCTCCAAATGAACACTACCAGGTTCTACAAAAAGTGTGTTTCAACACTGCTCTAACAAAAGTAAGGATCAAGACTTTGAGTTAAATGCACACATCACAAAGCAGTTTCTGAGAAAGCTTCTGTCTAGTTTTTATTTGAAGGTACTTCCTTTTCCTTCTTAGACCTCAAATCGCTCCAAATATCCACTTGCAGATACTACAAAAAGACTGTTTCAAAACCGCTCTCTCAAAAGGAAGGTTCAACTCTGTGAGTTGAATGCACATATTACAAAGCAGTTCCTGAGAATGCTTCTGTCTACTGTTTAGGTGAAGATATCACTTTTTCCAACATAGGCCACAAAGCATTTGAAATGAGCACTTGCAGATTCTACAAAATGTTTGTTTCAACACTGCTGTATCAAAAGAAAGGTTCAACAATGTGAAATGAACAAACCCATCACAAAGGAGTTTCTGAGAATGCTTCTGTCTAGTTTTTATGTGAAGATATTTCTTTTTCCAACATAGGCAACAAAGCACTCCAAAGAACACTTGTAGATTATAAAAAAAGTGTGTTTCAACACTGCTCTACCTAAAGGAAGTTTCAAGATTGTGACTTAAATACACACATCACAAAGCAGTTTCTGAGAATGCTTCTGTCTAGTTTGTATCTGAAGTTATTTCCTTTTCCATCATAGGCCTCAAATCGCTCCACATATCCACTTCCAAATACTACCAAAAGACTGTTTCAAAACTTCTCTCTCAAAAGGAAGGTTCAACTCTGTGAGTTGAATGCACACATCACAAGGCAGTTTCTGAAAATGCTTCCGTCTAGTTTTTTTATTTGAAGGTATTTCCTTTTGCTTCTTCGGCCTCAAATCACTGCAAATATCCACTTGCAGATACTACAAAAAGACTGTTTCAAAACCGCTCTCTCAAAAGGAAGGTTCAACTCTGTGAGTTGAATGCACATGTTACAAAGCAGTTTCTGAGAATGCTTCTGTCTATTTTTCAGGTGAAGATATCACTTTTTCGAACATACGCAAAAAAGAACTCAAAATGGACACTTGCAGATTCTACAAAAAGTATGTTTCAACACTGCTCTATCAAAAGAAAGGTTCAACGATATGAATTGAACACACACATCACAAAGGAGTTTCAGAGAATGCTTCAGTCTAGTTTTAATGTGAAGATATCACCTTTTCCCACATAGGCAACAAAGCGCTCCAAATAAATACTTGTGGATTCTACAAAAAGTGTGTTTCAACACTGCTCTATCAAAAGAAAGTTTCCAGTCTGTGAGTTGAATGCACACATCAAAAAGAACTTTCTGAGAATGCTTGGGTCTACTTTTTATGTGAAGATACCCGTTTCCAACGAATAACTCAAAGAGTTCCAAATATACACAATCAGATACTACAAAAGGAGTGTTTCATTCCTCCTCTGTCAAAAGACAGTTTCAACTCTGTTAGTTGAATGCACACATCTCAATGAAGTCCCTGAGAAGGCTTCTGCCTAGTTTTTTGTGAAGATAGTCCCTATTCCACCATGGGCTTCAAAGCGCTCCAAATGAAAACTTGCAGGTCCTACCAAAAGACTGATTCAAAACTGCTCTATCAAAAGAACGGTTCCACTCTGTTAGGTGAATGCACACATCACAAGAAGTTTCTGAGAATGCTTCTGTTTAGTTTGTATGTGAAGATATTTCCTTTTCCATCATACTACACGAATCGCTCCAAATATCCACCTGCAGACGTTACAAAAAGACTGTTTCAAAAATGCTCTCTCAAAAGGAAGGTTCAACTCTGTGAGTTGAGTGCACACACCACAATGGAGTTTCTGAGAATACTTCTGTCTACTTTCTATGTGAAGGTATTTCCTTTTCCACCTGAGGCCCCAAGTCACCACAAATATCCACTTGCAGATACTACAAAAAGACTGTTTCAAAACCTCCCCTTCAAAAGGAAAGTTCAAATCTGTCGGTTGAATGCACACATCACAAAGCAGTTTCTGAGAATGCTTCTGTCTAGTTTGTATGTGAAGATATTTCCTTTTCCATCATAGGCCTCAAATCGCTCCAAATATCCACTTGCAGATACTACAAAAGACCGTTTCAACACTGCTCTCTCAAAAGGAAGGTTCAACTCTGTGGGTTGAATGCACACATCACAAAGCACTTTCTGAGAATGCTTCTGTCTAGTTTGTATGTGAAGATATTTCCTTTTCCATCATAGGCCTCAAATCGCTCCAAATATCCACTTGCAGATACTACAAAAGGACTGTTTCAACACTGCTCTCTCAAATGGAAGGTTCAACTCTGTGAGTTGAATGCACACATCACAAAGCAGTTTCTGAGAATGCTTCTGTCTAGTTTGTATGTGAAGATATGCCTTTTACAACGTATTCCTCAAGGAGCTCCCAATATCCAAAAGCAGATTCTACAGAAGCAGTGTTTCAAACCAGCTCTGTCAAAGGAAAGTTTCAACTCTATGAATTGAACACACACATCACAAAGCAGTTTCTAAGAATGCTTCTGTCTAGTTTTTAAGAGAAGATAATCCTTTTTCCACCATAGGCAACAAATCTCTCCAAATGAACACTACCAGGTTCTACAAAAAGTGTGTTTCAACACTGCTCTAACAAAAGTAAGGATCAAGACTTTGAGTTAAATGCACACATCACAAAGCAGTTTCTGAGAAAGCTTCTGTCTAGTTTTTATTTGAAGGTACTTCCTTTTCCTTCTTAGACCTCAAATCGCTCCAAATATCCACTTGCAGATACTACAAAAAGACTGTTTCAAAACCGCTCTCTCAAAAGGAAGGTTCAACTCTGTGAGTTGAATGCACATATTACAAAGCAGTTCCTGAGAATGCTTCTGTCTATTTTTTAGGTGAAGATATCACTTTTTCCAACATAGGCCGCAAAGCATTTGAAATGAACACTTGCAGATTCTACAAAATGTTTGTTTCAACACTGCTGTATCAAAAGAAAGGTTCAACAATGTGAATTGAACACACCCATCACAAAGGAGTTTCTGAGAATGCTTCTGTCTAGTTTTTATGTGAAGATATTTCTTTTTCCAACATAGGCAACAAAGCACTCCAAAGAACACTTGTAGATTATACAAAAAGTGTGTTTCAACACTGCTCTACCTAAAGGAAGTTTCAAGTCTGTGACTTAAATGCACACATCACAAAGCAGTTTCTGACAATGCTTCTGTCTAGTTTGTATGTGAAGATATTTCATTTTCCACCATACTCCACAAATCGCTCCAAATATCCACTTGCAAATACTACAAAAAGACTGTTTCAAAACTTCTCTCTCAAAGGAAGGTTCAACTCTGTGAGTTGAATGCACACATCACAAGGCAGTTTTTGAAAATGCTTCCGTCTAGTTTTTTATTTGAAGGTATTTCCTTTTCCTTCTTCGGCCTCAAATCACTGCAAATATCCACTTGCAGATACTACAAAAAGACTGTTTCAAAACCGCTCTCTCAAAAGGAAGGTTCAACACTGTGAGTTGAATGCACATGTTACAAAGCAGTTTCTGGAATGCTTCTGTCTATTTTTCAGGTGAAGATATCACTTTTTCCAACATACGCACAAAAGAACTCGAAATGGACACTTGCAGATTCTACAAAAAGTATGTTTCAACACTGCTCTATCAAAAGAAATGTTCAACGATGTGAATTGAACACACACTTCACAGAGGAGTTTCAGAGAATGCTTCTGTCTAGTTTTTAAGTGAAGATATTCCTTTTTCCCACATAGGCAACAAAGCGCTCCAAACGAATACTTCTGGATTCTACAAAAAGTGTGTTTCAACACTGCTCTATCAAAAGAAAGTTTCAAGTCTGTGAGTTGAACGCCCACATCACAAAGAACCTTCTGAGAATGCTTGGGTCTACTTTTTATGTGAAGATACCCGTTTCCAACGAATAACTCAAAGAGTTCCAAATATACACAATCAGATACTACAAAAGGAGTGTTTCATTCCTCCTCTGTCAAAAGACAGTTTCAACTCTCTTAGTTGAATGCACACATCTCAATGAAGTTCCTGAGAGGGCTTCTGCCTAGTTTTTTGTGAAGATAGTCCCTTTTCCACCATGGGCTTCAAAGCGCTCCAAATGAAAACTTGCAGGTCCTACCAAAAGACTGATTCAAAACGGCTCTATCAAAAGAACGGTTCCACTCTGTTAGGTGAACGCACACATCACAAGAAGTTTCTGAGAATGCTTCTGTTTCGTTTGTATGTGAAGATATTTCCTTTTCCATCATACTACACGAATCGCTCCAAATATCCACCTGCAGACGTTACAAAAAGACTGTTTCAAAACTGCTCTCTCAAAAGGAAGGTTCAACTCTGTGAGTTGAGTGCACACATCACAATGGAGTTTCTGAGAATACTTCTGTCTACTTTGTATGTGAAAGTATTTCCTTTTCCACCTGAGGCCCCAAGTCACTACAAATATCCACTTGCAGATACTACAAAAAGACTGTTTCAAAACCTCCCTCTCCAAAGGAAAGTTCAAATCTGTCGGTTGAATGCACACATCACAAAGCACTTTCTGAGAATGCTTCTGTCTAGTTTGTATGTGAAGATATTTCCTTTTCCATCATAGGCTTCAAATCGCTCCAAATATCCACTTGCAGATACTACAAAAGACCGTTTCAACACTGCTCTCTCAAAAGGAAGGTTCAACTCTGTGGGTTGAATGCACACATCACAAAGCAGTTTCTGAGAATGCTTCTGTCTAGTTTGTATGTGAAGATATTTCCTTTTCCATCATAGGCCTCAAATCGCTCCAAATATCCAATTGAAGATACTACAAAAAGATCGTTTCAACACTGCTCTCTCAAATGGAAGGTTCAACTCTGTGAGTTGAATGCACACATCACAAAGCAGTTTCTGAGAATGCTTCTGTTTAGTTTGTATGTGAAGATATGCCTTTTACAACGTATTCCTCAAGGAGCTCCCAATATCCACAAGCAGATTCTACAGAAGCAGTGTTTCAAACCTGCTATGTCAAAGGAAAGTTTCAACTCTGTGAATTGAACACACACATCACAAAGCAGTTTCTAAGAATGCTTCTGTCTAGTTTTTAAGAGAAGATAATCCTTTTTCCACCATAGGCAACAAATCTCTCCAAATGAACACTACCAGGTTCTACAAAAAGTGTGTTTCAACACTGCTCTAACAAAAGTAAGGATCAAGACTTTGAGTTAAATGCACACATCACAAAGCAGTTTCTGAGAAAGCTTCTGTCTAGTTTTTATTTGAAGGTACTTCCTTTTCCTTCTTAGACCTCAAATCGCTCCAAATATCCACTTGCAGATACTACAAAAAGACTGTTTCAAAACCGCTCTCTCAAAAGGAAGGTTCAACTCTGTGAGTTGAATGCACATATTACAAAGCAGTTCCTGAGAATGCTTCTGTCTATTTTTTAGGTGAACATATCACTTTTTCCAACATAGGCCACAAAGCATTTGAAATGATCCCTTGCAGATTCCACAAAATGTTTGTTTCAACACTGCTGTATCAAAAGAAAGGTTCAACAATGTGAATTGAACACACCCATCACAAAGGAGTTTCTGAGAATGCTTCTGTCTAGTTTTTATGTGAAGATAGTTCTTTTTCCAACATAGGCAACACAGCACTCCAAAGAACACTTGTAGATTATACAAAAAGTGTGTTTCAACACTGCTCTACCTAAAGGAAGTTTCAAGTCTGTGACTTAAATGCACACATCACAAAGCAGTTTCTGAGAATGCTTCTGTCTAGTTTGTATGTGAAGATATTTCATTTTCCACCATACTCCACAAATCGCTCCAAATATCCACTTGCAAATACTACAAAAAGACTGTTTCAAAACTTCTCTCTCAAAAGGAAGGTTCAACTCTGTGAGTTGAATGCACACATCGCAAGGCAGTTTCTGAAAATGCTTCCGTCTAGTTTTTTATTTGAAGGTATTTCCTTTTGCTTCTTCAGCCTCAAATCACTGCAAATATCCACTTGCAGATACTACAAAAAGACTGTTTCAAAACCGCTCTCTCAAAAGGAAGGTTCAACACTGTGAGTTGAATGCACATGTTACAAAGCAGTTTCTGGAATGCTTCTGTCTATTTTTCAGGTGAAGATATCACTTTTTCCAACATACGCACAAAAGAACTCGAAATGGACACTTGCAGATTCTACAAAAAGTATGTTTCAACACTGCTCCATCAAAAGAAAGTTTCAACGATGTGAATTGAACACACACTTCACAGAGGAGTTTCAGAGAATGCTTCTGTCTAGTTTTTAAGTGAAGATATTCCTTTTTCCCACATAGGCAACAAAGCGCTCCAAATGAATACTTGTGGATTCTACAAAAACTGTGTTTCAACACTGCTCTATCAAAAGAAAGTTTCAAGTCTGTGAGTTGAACGCACACATCACAAAGGACCTTCTGAGAATGCTTGGGTCTACTTTTTATGTGAAGATACCCGTTTCCAACGAATAACTCAAAGAGTTCCAAATATACACTATCAGATACTACGAAAGGAGTGATTCATTACTGCTCTGTCAAAAGACAGTTTCAACTCTGTTAGTTGAATGCACACATCTCAATGAAGTTCCTGAGAAGGCTTCTGCCTAGTTTTTTGTGAAGATAGTCCCTTTTCCACCATGGGCTTCAAAGCGCTCCAAATGAAAACCTGCAGGTCCTACCAAAAGACTGATTCAAAACTGCTCTATCAAAAGAACGGTTCCACTCTGTTAGGTGAACGCACACATCACAAGAAGTTTCTGAGAATGCTTCTGTTTAGTTTGTATGTGAAGATATTTCCTTTTCCATCATACTACACGAATCGCTCCAAATATCCACCTGCAGACGTTACAAAAAGACTGTTTCAAAACTGCTCTCTCAAAAGGAAGGTTCAACTCTGTGAGTTCAGTGCACACATCACAATGGAGTTTCTGAGAATACTTCTGTCTACTTTGTATGTGAAGGTATTTCCTTTTCCACCTGAGGCCCCAAGTCACTACAAATATCCACTTGCAGATACTACAAAAAGACTGTTTCAAAACCTCCCTCTCAAAAGGACAGTTCAAATCTGTCGGTTGAATGCACACATCACAAAGCAGTTTCTGAGAATGCTTCTGTCTAGTTTGTATGTGAAGATATTTCCTTTTCCATCATAGGCCTCAAATCGCTCCAAATATCCACTTGCAGATATTACAAAAGACCGTTTCAACACTGCTCTCTCAAAAGGAAGGTTCAACTCTGTGGGTTGAATGCACACATCACGAAGCAGTTTCTGAGAATGCTTCTGTCTAATTTGTATGTGAAGATATTTCCTTTTCCATCATAGGCCTCAAATCGCTCCAAATATCCACTTGAAGATACTACAAAAAGACTGTTTCAACACTGCTCTCTCAAATGGAAGGTTCAACTCTGTGAGTTGAATGCACACATCACAAAGCAGTTTCTGAGAATGCTTCTGTCTAGTTTGTATGTGAAGATATGCCTTTTACAACGTATTCCTCAAGGAGCTCCCAATATCCACCAGCAGATTCTACACAAGCAGTGTTTCAAACCTGCTCTGTCAAAGGAAAGTTTCAACTCTGTGAATTGAACACACACATCACAAAGCAGTTTCTAAGAATGCTTCTGTCTAGTTTTTAAGAGAAGATAATCCTATTTCCACCATAGACAACAAATCTCTCCAAATGAACACTACCAGGTTCTACAAAAAGTGTGTTTCAACACTGCTCTAACAAAAGTAAGGATCAAGACTTTGAGTTAAATGCACACATCACAAAGCAGTTTCTGAGAAAGCTTCTGTCTAGTTTTTATTTGAAGGTACTTCCTTTTCCTTCTTAGACCTCAAATCGCTCCAAATATCCACTTGCAGATACTACAAAAAGACTGTTTCAAAACCGCTCTCTCAAAAGGAAGGTTCAACTCTGTGAGTTGAATGCACATATTACAAAGCAGTTCCTGAGAATGCTTCTGTCTATTTTTTAGGTGAAGATATCACTTTTTCCAACATAGGCCACAAAGCATTTGAAATGAACACTTGCAGATTCTACAAAATGTTTGTTTCAACACTGCTGTATCAAAAGAAAGGTTCAACAATGTGAATTGAACACACCCATCACAAAGGAGTTTCTCAGAATGCTTCTGTCTAGTTTCTATGTGAAGATATTTCTTTTTCCAACATAGGCAACAAAGCACTCCAAAGAACACTTGTAGATTATACAAAAAGTGTGTTTCAACACTGCTCTACCTAAAGGAAGTTTCAAGTCTGTGACTTAAAAGCACACATCACAAAGCAGTTTCTGAGAATGCTTCTGTCTAGCTTGTATGTGAAGATATTTCATTTTCCACCATACTCCACAAATCACTCCAAATATCCACTTGCAAATACTACAAAAAGACTGTTTCAAAACTTCTCTCTCAAAAGGAAGGTTCAACTCTGTGAGTTGAATGCACACATCACAAGGCAGTTTCCGAAAATGCTTCCGTCTAGTTTTTTATTTGAAGGTATTTCCTTTTCCTTCTTCGGCCTCAAATCACTGCAAATATCCACTTGCAGATACTACAGAAAGACTGTTTCAAAACCGCTCTCTCAAAAGGAAGGTTCAACACTGTGAGTTGAATGCACATGTTACAAAGCAGTTTCTGGAATGCTTCTGTCTATTTTTCAGGTGAAGATATCACTTTTTCCAACATACGCAGAAAAGAACTCGAAATGGACACTTGCAGATTCTACAAAAAGTATGTTTCAACACTGCTCTATCAAAAGAAAGGTTCAACGATGTGAATTGAACACACACTTCACAGAGGAGTTTCAGAGAACGCTTCTGTCTAGTTTTTAAGTGAAGATATTCCTTTTTCCCACATAGGCAACAAAGCGCTCCAAATGAATACTTGTGGATTCTACAAAAAGTGTGTTTCAACACTGCTCTATCAAAAGAAAGTTTCAAGTCTGTGAGTTGAACGCACACATCACAAAGAACCTTCTGAGAATGCTTGGGTCTACTTTTTATGTGAAGATACCCGTTTCCAACGAATAACTCAAAGAGTTCCAAATATACACAATCAGATACTACGAAAGGAGTGTTTCATTCCTGCTCTGTCAAAAGACAGTTTCAACTCTGTTAGTTGAATGCACACATCTCAATGAAGTTCCTGAGAAGGCTTCTGCCTAGTTTTTTGTGAAGATATTCCCTTTTCCACCATGGGCTTCAAAGCGCTCCAAATGAAAACTTGCAGGCCCTACCAAAAGACTGATTCAAAACTGCTCTATCAAAAGAACGGTTCCACTCTGTTAGGTGAATGCACACATCACAAGAAGTTTCTGAGAATGCTTCTGTTTAGTTTGTATGTGAAGATATTTCCTTTTCCATCATAGTACTCGAATCGCTCCAAATATCCACCTGCAGACATTACAAAAAGACTGTTTCAAAACTGCTCTCTCAAAAGGAAGGTTCAACTCTGTGAGTTGAGTGCACACATCACAATGGAGTTTCTGAGAATACTTCTGTCTAGTTTGTATGTGAAGGTATTTCCTTTTCCATCTGAGACCCCAAGTCACTACAAATATCCACTTGCAGATACTACAAAAAGACTGTTTCAAAACCTCCCTCTCAAAAGGAAAGTTTAAATCTGTCGGTTGAATGCACACATCACAAAGCAGTTTCTGAGAATGCTTCTGTCTAGTTTGTATGTGAAGATATTTCCTTTTCCATCATAGGCCTCAAATCGCTCCAAATATCCACTTGCAGATACTACAAAAGACCGTTTCAACACTGCTCTCTCAAAAGGAAGGTTCAACTCTGTGAGTTGAATGCACACATCACAACGGAGTTTCTGAGAATGCTTCTGTCTAGTTTGTATGTGAAGATATTTCCTTTTCCATCATAGGCCTCAAATCGCTCCAAATATCCACTTGCAGATACTACAAAAAGACTGTTTCAACACTGCTCTCTCAAATGGACGGTTCAACTCTGTGAGTTGAATCCACACATCACAAAGCAGTTTCTGAGAATGCTTCTGTCTAGTTTGTATGTGAAGATATGCCTTTTACAACGTATTCCTCAAGGAGCTCCCAATATCCACAAGCAGATTCTACAAAAGCAGTTCTTCAAAACTGCTCTAGCAAAGGAAAGTTTCAACTCTGTGAATTGAACACACACATCACAAAGCAGTTTCTAAGAATGCTTCTGTCTAGTTTTTAAGAGAAGATAATCCTTTTTCCACCATAGGCAACAAATCTCTCCAAATGATCACTACCAGGTTCTACAAAAAGTGTGTTTCAACACTGCTCTAACAAAAGTAAGGATCAAGACTTTGAGTTAAATGCGCACATCACAAAGCAGTTTCTGAGAAAGATTCTGTCTAGTTTTTATTTGAAGATGCTTCCTTTTCCTTCTTAAACCTCAAATCGCTCGAAATATCCACTTGCAGATACTACAAAAAGATTGTTTCAAAACCGCTCTCTCAAAAGGAAGGTTCAACTCTGTGAGTTGAATGCACATATTACAAAGCAGTTCCTGAGAATGCTTCTGTCTATTTTTTAGGTGAAGATATCACTTTTTCCAACATAGGCCACAAAGCATTTGAAATGAACACTTGCAGATTCTACAAAATGTTTGTTTCAACACTGCTGTATCAAAAGAAAGGTTCAACAATGTGAATTGAACACACCCATCACAAAGGAGTTTCTGAGAATGCCTCCTGTCTAGTTTTTATGTGAAGATATTTCTTTTTCCAACATAGGCAACAAAGCACTCCAAAGAACACTTGTAGATTATACAAAAAGTGTGTTTCAACACTGCTCTATCTAAAGGAAGTTTCAAGTCTGTGAGTTAAATGCACACATCACAAATCAGTTTCTGAGAATGCTTCTGTCTAGTTTGTATGTGAAGATATTTCATTTTCCACCATACTCCACAAATCGCTCCAAATATCCACTTGCAAATACTACAAAAAGACTGTTTCCAAACTTCTCTCTCAAAAGGAAGGTTCAACTCTGTGAGTTGAATGCACACATCACAAGGTAGTTTCTGAAAATGCTTCCGTCTAGTTTTTTATTTGAAGGTATTTCCTTTTCCTTCTTCGGCCTCAAATCACTGCAAATATCCACTTGCAGATACTACAAAAAGACTGTTTCAAAACCGCTCTCTCAAAAGGAAGGTTCAACACTGTGAGTTGAATGCATATGTTACAAAGCAGTTTCTGGAATGCTTCTGTCTATTTTTCAGGTGAAGATATCACTTTTTCCAACATACGCACAAAAGAACTCGAAATGGACACTTGCAGATTCTACAAAAAGTATGTTTCAACACTGCTCTATCAAAAGAAAGGTTCAACGATGTGAATTGAACACACACTTCACAGAGGAGTTTCAGAGAATGCTTCTGTCTAGTTTTTAAGTGAAGATATTCCTTTTTCCCACATAGGCAACAAAGCGCTCCAAACGAATACTTCTGGATTCTACAAAAAGTGTGTTTCAACACTGCTCTATCAAAAGAAAGTTTCAAGTCTGTGAGTTGAACGCCCACATCACAAAGAACCTTCTGAGAATGCTTGGGTCTACTTTTTATGTGAAGATACCTGTTTCCAACGAATAACACAAAGAGTTCCAAATATACACAATCAGATACTACAAAAGGAGTGTTTCATTCCTCCTCTGTCAAAAGACAGTTTCAACTCTGTTAGTTGAATGCACACATCTCAATGAAGTTCCTGAGAAGGCTTCTGCCTAGTTTTTTGTGAAGATAGTCCCTTTTCCACCATGGGCTTCAAAGCGCTCCAAATGAAAACTTGCAGGTCCTACCAAAAGACTGATTCAAAACGGCTCTATCAAAAGAACGGTTCCACTCTGTTAGGTGAACGCACACATCACAAGAAGTTTCTGAGAATGCTTCTGTTTAGTTTGTATGTGAAGATATTTCCTTTTCCATCATACTACACGAATCGCTCCAAATATCCACCTGCAGACGTTACAAAAAGACTGTTTCAAAACTGCTCTCTCAAAAGGAAGGTTCAACTCTGTGAGTTGAGTGCACACATCACAATGGAGTTTCTGAGAATACTTCTGTCTACTTTGTATGTGAAGGTATTTCCTTTTCCACCTGAGGCCCCAAGTCACTACAAATATCCACTTGCAGATACTACAAAAAGACTGTTTCAAAACCTCCCTCTCAAAAGGAAAGTTCAAATCTGTCGGTTGAATGCACACATCACAAAGCAGTTTCTGAGAATGCTTCTGTCTAGTTTGTATGTGAAGACATTTCCTTTTCCATCATAGGCCTCAAATCGCTCCAAATATCCACTTGCAGATACTTCAAACATACCGTTTCAACACTGCTCTCTCAAATGGAAGGTTCAACTCTGTGAGTTGAATGCACACATCACAAAGTAGTTTCTGAGAATGCTTCTGTCTAGTTTGTATGTGAAGATATTTCCTTTTCCATCATAGGCCTCAAATCGCTCCAAATATCCACTTGCAGATACTACAAAAAGACTGTTTCAACACTGCTCTCTCAAATGGAAGGTTCAACACTGTGAGTTGAATGCACACATCACAACGGAGTTTCTGAGAATGCCTCTGTCTAGTTGGTATGTGAAGATATGCCTTTTACAACGTATTCCTCAAAGAGCTCCCACTATCCACAAGCAGATTCTACAAAAGCAGTGTTTCAAACCTGCTCTATCAAAGGAAAGTTTCAACTCTGTGAATTGAACACACACATCACAAAGTAGTTTCTAAGAATGCTTCTGTCTAGTTTTTAAGAGAAGATAATCATTTTTCCACCATAGGCAACAAATCTCTCCAAATGAACACTACCAGGTTCTACAAAAAGTGTGTTTCAACACTGCTCTAACAAAAGTAAGGATCAAGACTTTGAGTTAAATGCACACATCACAAAGCAGTTTCTGAGAAAGCTTCTGTCTAGTTTTTATTTGAAGGTATTTCCTTTTCCTTCTTAGACCTCAAATCGCTCCAAATATCCGCTTGCAGATACTACAAAAAGACTGTTTCAAAGCCGCTCTCTCAAAAGGAAGGTTCAACTCTGTGAGTTGAATGCACATATTACAAAGCAGTTCCTGAGAATGCTTCTGTCTATTTTTTACGTGAAGATATCACTTTTTCCAACATAGGCCGCAAAGCATTTGAAATGAACACTTGCAGATTCTACAAAATGTTTGTTTCAACCCTGCTGTATCAAAAGAAAGGTTCAACAATGTGAATTGAACACACCCATCACAAAGGAGTTTCTGAGAATGCTTCTGTCTAGTTTTTATGTGAAGATATTTCTTTTTCCAACATAGGCAACAAAGCACTCCAAAGAACACTTGTAGATTATATAAAAAGTGTGTTTCAACACTGCTCTACCTAAAGGAAGTTTCAAGTCTGTGACTTAAATGCACACATCAGAAAGCAGTTTCTGAGAATGCTTCTGTCTAGTTTGTATGTGAAGATATTTCATTTTCCACCATACTCCACAAATCGCTCCAAATATCCACTTGCAAATACTACAAAAAGACTGTTTCAAAACTTCTCTCTCAAAAGGAAGGTTCAACTCTGTGAGTTGAATGCACACATCACAAGGCAGTTTCTGAAAATGCTTCCGTCTAGTTTTTTATTTGAAGGTATTTCCTTTTCCTTCTTCGGCCTCAAATCACTGCAAATATCCACTTGCAGATACTACAAAAAGACTGTTTCAAAACCGCTCTCTCAAAAGGAAGGTTCAACACTGTGAGTTGAATGCACATGTTACAAAGCAGTTTCTGGAATGCTTCTGTCTATTTTTCAGGTGAAGATATCACTTTTTCCAACATACGCACAAAAGAACTCGAAATGGACACTTGCAGATTCTACAAAAAGTATGTTTCATCACTGCTCCATCAAAAGAAAGGTTCAACGATGTGAATTGAACACACACTTCACAGAGGAGTTTCAGAGAATGCTTCTGTCTAGTTTTTAAGTGAAGATATTCCTTTTTCCCACATAGGCAACAAAGCGCTCCAAATGAATACTTGTGGATTCTACAAAAACTGTGTTTCAACACTGCTCTATCAAAAGAAAGTTTGAAGTCTGTGAGTTGAACGCACACATCACAAAGGACCTTCTGAGAATGCTTGGGTCTACTTTTTATGTGAAGATACCCGTTTCCAACGAATAACTCAAAGAGTTCCAAATATACACAATCAGATACTACAAAAGGGGTGTTTCATTCCTGCTCTGTCAAAAGACAGTTTCAACTCTGTTAGTTGAATGCACACATCTCAATGAAGTTCCTGAGAAGGCATCTGCCTAGTTTTTTGTGAAGATATTCCCTTTTCCACCATAGGCTTCAAAGCGCTCCAAATGAAAACTTGCAGGTCCTACAAAAAGACTGCTTCAAAACTGCTCTCTCAAAAGAACGGTTCCACTCTGTTAGGTGAATGCACACATCACAAGAAGTTTCTGAGAATGCTTCCGTTTAGTTTGTATGTGAAGATATTTCCTTTTCCATCATAGTACTCGAATCGCTCCAAATATCCACTTGCAGACATTACAAAAAGACTGTTTCAAAACTGCTCTCTCAAAAGGAAGGTTCAACTCTGTGAGTTGAGTGCACACATCACAATGGAGTTTGTGAGAATACTTCTGTCTACTTTGTATGTGAAGGTATTTCCTTTTCCACCTGAGGCCCCAAGTCACTACAAATATCCACTTGCAGATACTACAAAAAGACTGTTTCAAAACCACCCTCTCAAAAGGAAAGTTCAAATCTGTCGGTTGAATGCACACATCACAAAGCAGTTTCTGAGAATGCTTCTGTCTAGTTTGTATGTGAAGATATTTCCTTTTCCATCATAGGCCTCAAATCGCTCCAAATATCCACTTGCAGATACTACAAAAGACCGTTTGAACACTGCACTCTCAAAAGGAAGGTTCAACTCTGTGGGTTGAATGCACACATCACAAAGAAGTTTCTGAGAATGCTTCTGTCTAGTTTGTATGTGAAGATATTTCCTTTTCCATCATAGGCCTCAAATCGCTCCAAATATCCAATTGAAGATACTACAAAAAGACCGTTTCAACACTGCTCTCTCAAATGGAAGGTTCAACTCTGTGAGTTGAATGCACACATCACAAAGCAGTTTCTGAGAATGCTTCTGTCTAGTTTGTATGTGAAGATATCCCGTTTACAACGAATTTCTCAAAAATCTCTTAATATCCACAAGCAGATTCTGCAAAAACAGTGTTTCAAAACTGCTCTATCAAAATAAAATTTCAACTCTGTGAATTGAAGACACACATCACAATGATGTTTCTCACAATGCCTCTCTCTAGTTTTTAAGACAAGATAATCCTTTTTCAACCATAGGCAACAAATCTCTCCAAATGAACACTAGCAGGTTCTACAAAAAGTGTGTTTCAACACTGCTCAATCAAAAGAAAGGATCAAGACTTTGAGTTAAATGCACACATCACAAAGCAGTTTCTGAGAAAGCTTCTGTCTAGTTTTTATTTGAAGGTACTTCCTTTTCCTTCTTAGACCTCAAATCGCTCCAAATATCCACTTGAAGATACTACAAAAAGACTGTTTCAAAACCGCTCTCTCAAAAGGAAGGTTCAACTCTGTGAGTTGAATGCACATATTACAAAGCAGTTCCTGAGAATGCTTCTGTCTATTTTTTAGGTGAAGATATCACTTTTTCCAACATAGGCCACAAAGCTTTTGAAATGAGCACTTGCAGATTCTACAAAATGTTTGTTTCAACACTGCTGTATCAAAAGAAAGGTTCAACAATGTGAATTGAACAAACCCATCACAAAGGAGTTTCTGAGAATGCTTCTGTCTAGTTTTTATGTGAAGATATTTCTTTTTCCAACATAGGCAACAAAGCACTCCAAAAAACACTTGTAGATTATACAAAAAGTGTGTTTCAACACTGCTCTACCTAAAGGAAGTTTCAAGTCTGTGACTTAAATGCACACATCACAAAGCAGTTTCTGAGAATGCTTCTGTCTAGTTTGTATGTGAAGATATTTCATTTTCCACCATACTCCACAAATCGCTCCAAATATCCACTTGCAAATACCACAAAAAGACTGTTTCAAAACTTCTCTCTCAAAAGGAAGGTTCAACTCTGTGAGTTGAATGCACACATCACAAGGCAGTTTCTGAAAATGCTTCCGTCTAGTTTTTTATTTGAAGGTATTTCCTTTTCCTTCTTCGGCCTCAAATCACTGCAAATATCCACTTGCAGATACTACAAAAAGACTGTTTCAAAACCGCTCTCTCAAAAGGAAGGTTCAACACTGTGAGTTGAATGCACATGTTACAAAGCAGTTTCTGGAATGCTTCTGTCTATTTTTCAGGTGAAGATATCACTTTTTCCAACATACGCACAAAAGAACTCGAAATGGACACTTGCAGATTCTACAAAAAGTATGTTTCAACACTGCTCTATCAAAAGAAAGGTTCAACGATGTGAATTGAACACACACTTCACAGAGGAGTTTCAGAGAATGCTTCTGTCTAGTTTTTAAGTGAAGATATTCCTTTTTCCCACATAGGCAACAAAGCGCTCCAAATGAATACTTGTGGATTCTACAAAAAGTGTGTTTCAACACTGCTCTATCAAAAGAAAGTTTCAAGTCTGTGAGTTGAACGCACACATCACAAAGAACCTTCTGAGAATGCTTGGGTCTACTTTTTATGTGACGATACCCGTTTCCAACGAATAACTCAAAGAGTTCCAAATATACACAATCAGATACTACAAAAGGAGTGTTTCATTCCTCCTCTGTCAAAAGACAGTTTCAACTCTGTTAGTTGAATGCACACATCTCAATGAAGTTCCTGAGAAGGCTTCTGCCTAGTTTTTTGTGAAGATAGTCCCTTTTCCACCAT
The DNA here is from genome assembly GCF_000001405.40 of Homo sapiens. Classification (NCBI taxonomy): domain Eukaryota; kingdom Metazoa; phylum Chordata; class Mammalia; order Primates; family Hominidae; genus Homo; species Homo sapiens. The sequence continues at coordinate 46,574,578 of NC_000005.10, read as the reverse complement.
GGGCTTCAAAGCGCTCCAAATGAAAACTTGCAGGTCCTACCAAAAGACTGATTCAAAACGGCTCTATCAAAAGAACGGTTCCACTCTGTTAGGTGAACGCACACATCACAAGAAGTTTCTGAGAATGCTTCTGTTTCGTTTGTATGTGAAGATATTTCCTTTTCCATCATACTACACGAATCGCTCCAAATATCCACCTGCAGACGTTACAAAAAGACTGTTTCAAAACTGCTCTCTCAAAAGGAAGGTTCAACTCTGTGAGTTGAGTGCACACATCACAATGGAGTTTCTGAGAATACTTCTGTCTACTTTGTATGTGAAGGTATTTCCTTTTCCATCTGAGGCCCCAAGTCACTACAAATATCCACTTGCTGATACTACAAAAAGACTGTTTCAAAACCTCCCTCTCAAAAGGAAAGTTCAAATCTGTGAGTTGAATGCACACATCACAAAGCAGTTCCTGAGACTGCTTCTGTCTAGTTTGTATGTGAAGATATTTCCTTTTCCATCATAGGCTTCAAATCGCTCCAAATATCCACTTGCAGATACTACAAAAGACCGTTTCAACACTGCTCTCTCAAAAGGAAGGTTCAACTCTGTGGGTTGAATGCACACATCACAAAGCAGTTTCTGAGAATGCTTCTGTCTAGTTTGTATGTGAAGATATTTCCTTTTCCATCATAGGCCTCAAATCGCTCCAAATATCCAATTGAAGATACTACAAAAAGATCGTTTCAACACTGCTCTCTCAAATGGAAGGTTCAACTCTGTGAGTTGAATGCACACATCACAAAGCAGTTTCTGAGAATGCTTCTGTTTAGTTTGTATGTGAGGATATGCCTTTTACAATGTATTCCTCACGGAGCTCCCAATATCCACAAGCAGATTCTACAGAAGCAGTGTTTCAAACCTGCTCTGTCAAAGGAAAGTTTCAACTCTGTGAATTGAACACACACATCACAAAGCAGTTTCTAAGAATGCTTCTCTCTAGTTTTTAAGAGAAGATAATTCTTTTTCCACCATAGGCAACAAATCTCTCCAAATGAACACTAGCAGGTTCTACCAAAAGTGTGTTTCAACACTGCTCTGTCAAAAGAAAGGATCAAGACTTTGAGTTAAATGCACACATCACAAAGCAGTTTCTGAGAAAGCTTCTGTCTAGTTTTCATTTGAAGGTACTTCCTTTTCCTTCTTAGACCTCAAATCGCTCCAAATATCCACTTGCAGATACTACAAAAAGACTGTTTCAAAATCGCTCTCTCAAAAGGAAGGTTCAACTCTGTGAGTTGAATGCACATATTACAAGGCAGTTCCTGTGAATGCTTCTGTCTATTTTTTAGGTGAACATATCACTTTTTCCAACATAGGCCACAAAGCATTTGAAATGAACCCTTGTAGATTCTACAAAATGTTTGTTTCAACACTGCTGTATCAAAAGAAAGGTTCAACAATGTGAATTGAACAAACCCATCACAAAGGAGTTTCTGAGAATGTTTCTGTCTAGTTTTTATGTGAAGATATTTCTTTTTCCAACATAGGCAACAAAGCACTCCAAAGAACACTTGTAGATTATACAAAAAGTGTGTTTCAACACTGCTCTACCTAAAGGAAGTTTCAAGTCTGTGACTTAAATGCACACATCACAAAGCAGTTTCTGACAATGCTTCTGTCTAGTTTGTATGTGAAGATATTTCATTTTCCACCATACTCCACAAATCGCTCCAAATATCCACTTGCAAATACTACAAAAAGACTGTTTCAAAACTTCTCTCTCAAAAGGAAGGTTCAACTCTGTGAGTTGAATGCACACATCACAAGGCAGTTTCTGAAAATGCTTCCGTCTAGTTTTTTATTTGAAGGTATTTCCTTTTCCTTCTTCGGCCTCAAATCACTGCAAATATCCACTTGCAGATACTACAAAAAGACTGTTTCAAAACCGCTCTCTCAAAAGGAAGGTTCAACACTGTGAGTTGAATGCACATGTTACAAAGCAGTTTCTGGAATGCTTCTGTCTATTTTTCAGGTGAAGATATCACTTTTTCCAGCATACGCACAAAAGAACTCGAAATGGACACTTGCAGATTCTACAAAAAGTATGTTTCAACACTGCTCTATCAAAAGAAAGGTTCAACGATGTGAATTGAACACACACTTCACAGAGGAGTTTCAGAGAATGCTTCTGTCTAGTTTTTAAGTGAAGATATTCCTTTTTCCCACATAGGCAACAAAGCGCTCCAAACGAATACTTGTGGATTCTACAAAAAGTGTGTTTCAACACTGCTCTATCAAAGGAAAGTTTCAAGTCTGTGAGTTGAACGCACACATCACAAAGAACCTTCTGAGAATGCTTGGGTCTACTTTTTATGTGAAGATACCCGTTTCCAACGAATAACTCAAAGAGTTCCAAATATACACAATCAGATACTACAAAAGGAGTGTTTCATTCCTCCTCTGTCAAAAGACAGTTTCAACTCTGTTAGTTGAATGCACACATCTCAATGAAGTTCCAGAGAAGGCTTCTGCCTAGTTTTTTGTGAAGATAGTCCCTTTTCCACCATGGGCTTCAAAGCACTCCAAATGAAAACTTGCAGGTCCTACCAAAAGACTGATTCAAAACTGCTCTATCAAAAGAACGGTTCCACTCTGTTAGGTGAATGCACACATCACAAGAAGTTTCTGAGAATGCTTCTGTTTAGTTTGTATGTGAAGATATTTCCTTTTCCATCATACTACTCGAATCGCTCCAAATATCCACATGCAGACGTTACAAAAAGACTGTTTCAAAACTGCTCTCTCAAAAGGAAGGTTCAACTCTGTGAGTTGAGTGCACACATCACAATGGAGTTTCTGAGAATACTTCTGTCTAGTTTGTATGTGAAGGTATTTCCTTTTCCATCTGAGGCCCCAAGTCACTACAAATATCCACTTGCAGATACTACAAAACGACTGTTTCAAAACCTCCCTCTCAAAAGGAAAGTTCAAATCTGTCGGTTGAATGCACACATCACAAAGAAGTTTCTGAGAATGCTTCTGTCTAGTTTGTATGTGAAGATCTTCCCTTTTCCATCATAGGCGTCAAATCTCTCCAAATATCCACTTGCAGATAATACAAAAAGACGCTTTGAAAACTACTCTCTCAAAAGGAATTTTCAATTCTGTGAGTTGAAGGCACACATCACAAAGAAATTTCTGACAAAGATTCTGTCTAGTTTGTATGTGAAGATATTTCCTTTTCCATCATAGGCCTCAAATCGCTCCAAATATCCACTTGAAGATACTACAAAAAGACTGTTTCAACACTGCTCTCTCAAATGGAAGGTTCAACACTGTGAGTTGTATGCACACATCACAAAGCAGTTTCTGAGAATGCTTGTGTCTAGTTGGTATGTGAAGATATGCCTTTTACAACGTATTCCTCAAAGAGCTCCCACTATCCACAAGCAGATTCTACAAAAGAAGTGTTTCAAACCTGCTCTATCAAAGGAAAGTTTCAACTCTGTGAATTGAACACACACATCAAAAGCAGTTTCTAAGAATGCTTCTCTCTAATTTTTAAGAGAAGATAATCCTTTTTCCACCATAGGCAACAAATCTCTCCAAATGAACACTACCAGGTTCTACAAAAAGTGTGTTTCAACACTGCTCTATCAAAAGAAAGGATCAAGACTTTGAGTTAAATGCACACATCACAAAGCAGTTTCTGAGAAAGCTTCTGTCTAGTTTTTATTTGAAGGTGTTTCCTTTTCCTTCTTAGACCTCAAATCGCTCCAAATATCCACTTGCAGATACTACAAAAAGACTGTTTCAAAACCGCTCTCTCAAAAGGAAGGTTCAGCTCTGTGAGTTGAATACACATATTACAAAGCAGTTCCTGAGAATGCTTCTGTCTATTTTTTAGGTGAAGATATCACTTTTTCCAACATAGGCCGCAAAGCATTTGAAATGAACCCTTGCAGATTCTACAAAATGTTTGTTTCAACACTGCTGTATCAAAAGAAAGGTTCAACAATATGAATTGAACAAACCCATTACAAAGGAGTTTCTGAGAATGCTTCTGTCTAGTTTTTATGTGAAGATATTTCTTTTTCCAACAAAGGCAACAAAGCACTCCAAAGAACACTTGTAGATTATACAAAAAGTGTGTTTCAACACTGCTCTACCTAAAGGAAGTTTCAAGTCTGTGACTTAAATGCACACATCACAAAGCAGTTTCTGACAATGCTTCTGTCTAGTTTGTATGTGAAGATATTTCATTTTCCACCATACTCCACAAATCGCTCCAAATATCCACTTGCAAATACTACAAAAAGACTGTTTCAAAACTTCTCTCTCAAAAGGAATGTTCAACTCTGTGAGTTGAATGCACACATCACAAGGCAGTTTCTGAAAATGCTTCCGTCTAGTTTTTCATTTGAAGGTATTTCCTTTTCCTTCTTCGGCCTCAAATCACTGCAAATATCCACTTGCAGATACTACAAAAAGACTGTTTCAAAACCGCTCTCTCAAAAGGAAGGTTCAAAACTGTGAGTTGAATGCACATGTTACAAAGCAGTTTCTGGAATGCTTCTGTCTATTTTTCAGGTGAAGATATCACTTTTTCCAACATACGCACAAAAGAACTCGAAATGGACACTTGCAGATTCTACAAAAAGTATGTTTCAACACTGCTCTATCAAAAGAAAGGTTCAACGATGTGAATTGAACACACACTTCACAGAGGAGTTTCAGAGAATGCTTCTGTCTAGTTTTTAAGTGAAGATATTCCTTTTTCCCACATAGGCAACAAAGCGCTCCAAATGAATACTTGTGGATTCTACAAAAAGTGTGTTTCAACACTGCTCTATCAAAAGAAAGTTTCAAGTTTGTGAGTTCAACGCACACATCACAAAGAACCTTCTGAGAATGCTTGGGTCTACTTTTTATGTGAAGATACCCGTTTCCAATGAATAACTCAAAGAGTTCCAAATATACACAATCAGATACTACAAAAGGAGTGTTTCATTCCTCCTCTGTCAAAAGACAGTTTCAACTCTGTTAGTTGAATGCACACATCTCAATGAAGTTCCTGAGAAGGCTTCTGCCTAGTTTTTTGTGAAGATAGTCCCTTTTCCACCATGGGCTTCAAAGCGTTCCAAATGAAAACTTGCAGGTCCTACCAAAAGACTGATTCAAAACTGCTCTATCAAAAGAACGGTTCCACTCTGTTAGGTGAATGCACACATCACAAGAAGTTTCTGAGAATGCTTCAGTTTAGTTTGTATGTGAAGATATTTCCTTTTCCATCATAGTACTCGAATCGCTCCAAATATCCACCTGCAGACGTTACAAAAAGACTGTTTCAAAACTGCTCTCTCAAAAGGAAGGTTCAACTCTGTGAGTTGAGTGCACACATCACAATGGAGTTTCTGAGAATACT
>NC_000005.10:46564066-46569062 GCF_000001405.40 Homo sapiens | reverse complement strand
TCTGTCTAATTTGTATCTCAAGTTATTTCCTTTTCCATCATAGGCCTCAAATCGCTCCAAATATCCACTTGCAAATACTACAAAAAGACTGTTTCGAAAGTTCTCTCTCAAAAGGAAGGTTCAACTCTGTGAGTTGAATGCACACATCACAAGGCAGTTTCTGAAAATGCTTCTGTCCAATTTTTATGTGAGGATATTCCCTTTTCCATCATAGGACTCAAGTCGCTCTAAATATCCAATTTCAGATACTACAAAAAGACTGTTTCAAAACCGCTCTCTCAAAGGGAAGGTTCAAGTCCGTGAGTTGAATGCACACATCACAAAGCAGTTCCTGAGAATGCTTCTTTCTAGTTTTTATGTGAATATGTCTCCTTTTCCACCATAGGCTTCAAAGCGCTCCAAATGAGAACTGGCAGATACTCTTAAAAGACGGCCTCTAAACCGCTCTATCAAAAGAAGGGTTCCACTCCAAGAGGTGAATTCACATATCACGAAGAAGTTTCTGAGAATGCTTGGGTCTACTTTTCATGTGAAGATACCCGTTTCCAACGAATTCTTCAAAGAGTTCCAAGTATCCACAAGCAGATTCTACAAAAGGAGTGCTTAAATGCTGGTCTATCTAAAGACAGATTCAACTCTGTTAGTTAAATGCACACATCTCAGTGAAGTTCCTGAGAATGCTTCTGTCTAGTTTTTATTTGAAGATATTTCTTTTTCCACCGTAGGCAACAAAGCGCTCCAAAGGAACTCTTGCGGATTCTACAAAAAGCGTGTTTCCACACTGCTCTATCAAAAGAAAGTTTCAAGTCTGTGAGTTGAATTGCACACATCCCAGTGAACTTTCGGAAAATGCATCTGTCTAGTATGCATGTGAAGAGATTCCATTTACAACGAATTCCTCAAAGAGCTCCAAATATCCACAAGCAGAGTCTACAAAAGCAGTGTTTTGAAACTGCTCTATCAATAGAAAGGTTCAACTCTGTAAATTGAACACACACACATCCAAAGGAGTTTCTGAGAATCCTTCCGTCTGGTTTGTATGTGAAGTCATTTCCTTTTCCATCTAAATCGCCTCAAATCGCTAAAAGATCCACTCGCAGATACTACAAAAAGACTTTCAAAACTGCTCTCTCAAAAGGAAGGTTCAACTGTGTGAGTTGAATGCACACATCACATAGCAGTTTTTGAGAACGCTTCTGTCTACCTTTTTAAGTAACGATATTTTCTTTCCACCATAGGCAACAAAGCACACGGAATGAAAACTTGCAGATTCTACAAAAAGTGTGTTTCAACACTGCTCTATCCAAATAAATGTTCGAGACCGTGAGTGGAACACACACAACAGAAAGCAGTTTCTGAGGATGCTTCTGTCTAGTGTTTCTATGAAGATAATTCTTTTTCTACCATAGGCAACAATTCGCTGCAAATTAACACTTGCAGATTTCACAAAAACTGTGTTTTAACACTGCTGTATCAAAACAAATGTCCAAGTCTGTGAGTAGATTGCACACATCACAAATCAGTTTCTGAGAATGATTCTGTCTAGTCTAGTTAGAATGTGAAGATATCCCGTTTACAACGAATTCCTCCGAGAGCTCTAAATATCTGGAAGCAGATTCTACAAAAGCAGTGCTTCAAACCTGCTCTATCAAAGGAAAGGTTCAGCTCGGGGAATTGAACACAAGCATCACAAAGGAGTTTCTGAGAATGCTTCTGTCTAGTTTGTATGTGAAGATATTTCCTTTTCCATCATAGGCCTCAAATCGCTCCAAATATCCACTTGCAGATACTCCAAAAATACCGTTTCAACACTGCTCTCTCCAATGGAAGGTTCAACTCTGTGAGTTGAATGCACACATCACAAAGCAGTTTCTGAGAATGCTTCTGCCTAGTTTTTTGTGAAGATATTCCCTTTTCCACCATAGGCTTCACAGCGCTCCAAATGAAAACTTGCAGGTCCTACAAAAAGACTGATTCAAAACTGCTCTCCCAAAAGGAAGGTTCAACTGTGTGAGTTGAATGCACACATCACAAAGCAGTTCCTGAGAATGCTTGGGTCTACTTTTTATGTGAAGATACCCGTTTCCAACGAATAACTCAAAGAGTTCCAAATATACACAGTCAGGTACTGCAAAAGGAGTGTTTCACTCCTGCTCTGTCAAAAGACAGTTTCAACTCTGTTAGTTGAATGCACACATCTCAATGAAGTTCCTGAGAAGGCTTCTGTCTAGTGTTTAGGTGACGATATTACCTTTTCCCACATAGGCAACAAAGCGCTCCAAATGAATACTTGTGGGTTCTACAAAAAGTGTGTTTCAACACTGCTCTATCAAAAGAAAGTTTCCAGTCTGTGAGTTGAATGCACACATCACAACGAACTTTCTGAGAATGCTTCTTTCTATTTTTCAGGTGAATATATCACTTTTTCCAACATACGTAAAAAAGTACTCGAAATGAACACTTGCAGATTCTACAAAAAGGATGTTTCAACACTGCTCTATCAAAAGAAAGGTTCAACGATGTGAATTGAACACACACTTCACAAAGGAGTTTCAGAGAATGCTTCCGTCTAGTTTTTTATTTGAAGGTATTTCCTTTTCCTTCTTCGGCCTCAAATCACTGCAAATATCCACTTGCAGACACTACAAAAAGACTGTTTCAAAACCGCTCTCTCAAAAGGAAGGTTCGACTCTGTGAGTTGAATGCACACGTTACGAAGCAGTTTCTGAGAATGCTTCTGTCTAGTTTGTATCTGAAGTTATTTCCTTTTCCATCACAGGCCTCAAATCGCTCCAAATATCCACTTGCAAATACTACAAAAAGACTGTTTCAAAAGTTCTCTCTCAAAAGGAAGGTTCAACTCTGTGAGTTGAATGCACACATCACAAGGCAGTTTCTGAAAATGCTTCTGTCCAATTTTTATGTGAAGATATTCCCTTTTCCATCATAGGACTCAAGTCACTCTAAATATCCAATTTCAGATACTACAAAAAGACTGTTTCAAAACTGCTCTCTCAAAAGGAAGGTTCAACACCGTGAGTTGAATGCACACATCACAAAGCAGTTCCAGAGATTGCTTCTTTCCAGTTTTTATGTGAATATATCTCCTTTTCCACCATAGGCTTCAAAGCGCTCCAAATGAGAACTGGCAGATCCTCATAAAAGACTGCCTCAAAACCGCTCTATCAAAAGAAGGGTTCCACTCCAAGAGGTGAATTCACACACCACGAAGAAGTTTCTGAGAATGCTTGGGTCTACTTTTCATGTGAAGATACCCGTTTCCAAAGAATTCTTCAAAGAGTTCCAAATATCCACCTGCAGATACTACAAAAGGAGTGTTTAAATGCTGGTCTATCTAAAGACAGATTCAACTCTCTTAGTTAAATGCACACATCTCAGTGAAGTTCCTGAGAAAGCTTCTGTCTAGTTTTTATTTGAAGATATTTCTTTTTCCACCATAGGCAACAAAGCGCTCCAAGGGAACTCTTGCAGATTCTACAAAAGTGTGTTTCTACACTGTTCTATCAAAAGAAAGTTTCAAGTCTGTGAGTTGAATGAACACATCCCAGTGAACTTTCGGAGAATGCATCTGTCTAGTTTGTATGTGAAGATATTCCATTTACAATGAATTCCTCAAAGAGCTCCAAATATCCACAAGGAGATTCTACAAAAGCAGTGTTTTAAAACTGCTCTATCAATAGAAAGGTTCAACTCTGTTAATTGAACACACACATCCAAAGGAGTTTCTGAGAATCCTTCTGTCTGGTTTGTATGTGAAGTCATTTCCTTTTCCATCTAAATAGCCTCAAATGGCTAAAAGATCCACTTGCAGATACTACAAAAAGACTTTCAAAACTGCTCTCTCAAAAGGAAGGTTCAACTGTGTGAGTTGAATGCACACATCACATAGCAGTTTTTGAGAACGCTTCTGTCTAGCTTTTTATGTAACGATATTTTCTTTCCACCAGAGGCAACGAAGCACACGGAACGAAATCTTGCGGATTCTACAAAAAGTGTGTTTCAACACCGCTCTATCCAAAGAAAGGTTCGAGTCCGTGAGTTGAACGCACAAAACAGAAAGCAGTTTCTGAGGATGCATTCTGTCTAGTGTTTCTATGAAGATAATTCTTTTTCTACCATAGGCAACAATACGTTGCAAATGAACACTTGCAGATTTCACAAAAACTGTGTTTTAACACTGCTCTATCAAAAGAAATGTCCAAGTCTGTGAGTTGATTGCACACATCACAAAGCAGTTTCGGAGAATGATTCTGTCTAGTCTAGTTAGAATGTGAAGATATCCCGTTTACAACGAATTCCTCCGAGAGCTCTAAATATCTGGAAGCAGATTCTACAAAAGCAGTGCTTCAAACCTGCTCTATCAAAGGAAAGGTTCAGCTCGGGGAATTGAACACAAACATCACAAAGGAGTTTCTGAGAATGCCTCTGTCTAGTTTGTATGTGAAGATATTTCCTTTTCCATCATAGGCCTCAAATCGCTCCAAATATCCACTTGCAGATACTACAAAAATACCGTTTCAACACTGCTCTCTCCAATGGAAGGTTCAACTCTGTGAGTTGAATGCACACATCACAAAGCAGTTTCTGAGAATGCTTCTGCCTAGTTTTTTGTGAAGATATTCCCTTTTCCACCATGGGCTTCACAGCGCTCCAAATGAAAAATTCCAGGTCCTACCAAAAGACTGATTCAAAACTGCTCTCTCAAAAGGAAGGTTCAACTGTGTGAGTTGAATGCACACATCACAAAGCAGTTCCTGAGAATGCTGTCCCAGCTACTCGGGAGGCTAAGGCAGGAGAATGGCGTGAACCCGGAAGGCGGAGCTTGCAGTGAGCCGAGATCGCGCCACTGCACTCCAGCCTGGGCGACAGAGCGAGACTCCGTTTCAAAAAAAAAAAAAAAAAAATAAAAAAAAAAAAGAAAGGTTCAACGATGTGAATTGAACACACACATCACAAAGGAGTTTCAGAGAATGCT
>NC_000005.10:46553115-46563966 GCF_000001405.40 Homo sapiens | reverse complement strand
TCTGTCTAGTGTTTAAGTGACGACATTACCTTTTCCCACATAGGCAACAAAGCGCTCCAAATGAATACCTGGGGGTTCTACAACAAGTGTGTTTCAACACTGCTCTATCAAAAGAAAGTTTCAAGTCTGTGAGTTGAATGCACACATCACAACGAACTTTCTGAGAATGCTTCTGTCTATTTTTCAGGTGAAGATATCACTTTTTCCAACATACGTAAAAAAGTACTGGAAATGAACACTTGCAGATTCTACAAAAAGTATGTTTCAACACTGCTCTATCAAAAGAAAGGTTCAACGATGTGAATTGAACACACACATCACAAAGGAGTTTCAGAGAATGCTTCTGTCTAGTTTTTTTATTTGAAGGTATTTCCTTTTCCTTCTTCGGCCTCAAATCACTGCAAATATCCACTTGCAGATACTACACAAAGACTGTTTCAAAACCGCTCTCTCAGAAGGAAGGTTTGACTCTGTGAGTTGAATGCACACGTTACGAAGCAGTTTCTGAGAATGCTTCCGTCTAGTTTTTTATCTGAAGCTATTTCCTTTTCCATCTTAGCCCTCAAATCACTACAAATATGCACTTGCAGATAGATACTGTAAAAAGACGGTTTCAAAACCTCTCTCTCAAAAGGAAAACTAAAATCTGCGAGTTGAATGCACACATCATAAAGCAGTTCCTGAGACTGCTTCCGTCTAGTTTTTTATTTGAAGGTATTTCCTTTTCCTTCTTCGGCCTCAAATCACTGCAAATATCCACTTGCAGACACTACAAAAAGACTGTTTCAAAACCGCTCTCTCAAAAGGAAGGTTCGACTCTGTGAGTTGAATGCACACGTTACGAAAGCAGTTTCTGAGAATGCTTCTGTCTAGTTTGTATCTGAAGTTACTTCCTTTTCCATCATAGGCCTCAAATTGCTCCAAATATCCCCTTGCAAATACTACAAAAAGACTGTTTCAAAAGTTCTCTCTCAAAAGGAAGGTTCAACTCCGTGAGTTGAATGCACACATCACAAGGCAGTTTCTGAAAATGCTTCTGTCCAATTTTTATGTGAGGATATTCCCTTTTTCATCATAGGACTCACGTCGCTCTAAATATCCAATTTCAGATACTACAAAAAGACTGTTTCAAAACTGCTCTCTCAAAGGGAAGGTTCAAGTCCGTGAGTTGAATGCACACATCACAAAGCAGTTCCTGAGAATGCTTCTTTCTAGTTTTAATGTGAATGTATCTCCTTTTCCACTATAGGCTTCAAAGCGCTCCAAATGAGAACTGGCAGATCCTCATAAAAGACGGCCTCAAAACCGCTCTATCAAAAGAAGGGTTCCACTCCAAGAGGTGAATTCACCTATCACGAAGAAGTTTCTGGGAATGCTTGGGTCTACTTTTCATGTGAAGATACCCGTTTCCAACGAATTCTTCAAAGAGTTCCAAGTATCCACAAGCAGATTCTACAAAAGGAGTGCTTAAATGCTGGTCTATCTAAAGAGAGATTCAACTCTGTTAGTTAAATGCACACATCTCAGTGAAGTTCCTGAGAATGCTTCTGTCTAGTTTTTATTTGAAGATATTTCTTTTTCCACCATAGGCAACAAAGCGCTCCAAAGGAACTCTTGCGGATTCTACAAAAAGCGTGTTTCTACACTGCCCTATGAAAAGAAAGTTTCAAGTCTGTGAGTTGAATTGCACACATCCCAGTGAACTTTCGGAAAATGCATGGTCTGTCTAGTTTGTATGTGAAGAGATTCCATTTACAACGAATTCCTCAAAGAGCTCCAAATATCCACAAGCAGATTCTACAAAAACAGTGTTTTGAAACTGCTCTATCGATAGAAAGGTTCAACTCTGTTAATTGAACACACACATCCTAAGGAGTTTCTGAGAAACCTTCTGTCTGGTTTGTATGTGAAGTCATTTCCTTTTCCATCTAAATCGCCTCAAATCGCTAAAAGATCCACTCACAGATACTACAAAAAGACTTTCAAAACTGCTCTCTCAACAGGAAGGTTCAACTGTGTGAGTTGAATGCACACATCACAAAGCAGTTTTTGAGAACGCTTCTGTCTAGCTTTCTATGTAACGTTATTTTCTTTGCACCAGAGGCAACAAAGCACACGGAATGAAATCTTGCAGATTCTACAAAAGGTGTGTTTCAACACCGTTCTATCCAAAGAAAGTTTCGAGTCCGTGAGTTGAACGCACACAACAGAAAGCAGTTTCTGAGGATGCTTCTGTCTAGTGTTTCTATGAAGATAATTCTTTTTCTACCATAGGCAACAATACGCTGCAAATGAACACTTGCAGATTTCACAAAAACTGTGTTTTAACACTGCTCTATCAAAACAAAGGTCCAAGTCTGTGAGTGGACTGCACACATCACAAAGCAGTTTCTGAGAATGATTCTCTCTAGTTAGAATGTGAAGATATCCCGTTTACTACGAATTCCTCCGAGAGCTCTAAATATCTGGAAGCAGATTCTACAAAAGGAGTGCTTCAAACCTGCTCTATCAAAAGAAAGGTTCAGTTCTGGGAATTGAACACAAACATCACAAAGGAGTTTCTGAGAATGCTTCTGTCTAGTTTGTATGTGAAGACATTTCCTTTTCCATCATAGGCCTCAAATCGCTCCCAATATCCACTTGCAGATGCTACAAAAATACGGTTTCAACACTGCTCTCTCCAATGGAAGGTTCAACTCTGTGAGTTGAAGGCACACATCACAAAGCAGTTTCTGAGAATGCTTCTGCCTAGTTTTTTGTGAAGATATTCCCTTTTCCACCATGGGCTTCACAGTGCTCCAAATGAAAACTTGCAGGTCCTACCAAAAGACTGATTCAAAACTGCTCTCTCAAAAGGAAGGTTCAACTGTGTGAGTTGAATGCACACATCACAAAGCAGTTCCTGAGAATGCTTGGGTCTACTTCTTATGTGAAGATACCCGTTTCCAACGAATAACTCAAAGAGTTCCAAATATACACAGTCAGATACTGCAAAAGGAGTGTTTCATTCCTGCTCTGTCAAAAGACAGTTTCAACTATGTTAGTTGAATGCACACATCTCAGTGAAGTTCCTGAGGAGGCTTCTGTCTAGTGTTTAGGTGACGATATTACCTTTTCCCACATAGGCAACAAAGCGCTCCAAATGAATACTTGTGGGTTCTACAAGAAGTGTGTTTCAACACTGCTCTATCAAAAGAAAGTTTCCAGTCTGTGAGTTGAATGCACACATCACAATGAACTTTCTGAGAATGCTTCTGTCTATTTTTCAGGTGAAGATATCACTTTTTCGAACATACGCAAAAAAGAACTCAAAATGGACACTTGCAGATTCTACAAAAAGTATGTTTCAACACTGCTCTATCAAAAGAAAGGTTCAACGATATGAATTGAACACACACATCACAAAGGAGTTTCAGAGAATGCTTCCGTCTCGTTTTTTATTTGAAGGTATTTCCTTTTCCTTCTTCGGCCTCAAATCACTGCAAATATCCACTTGCAGATACTACAAAAAGACTGTTTCAAAACCGCTCTCTCAAAAGGAAGGTTCGACTCTGTGAGTTGAATGCACACGTTACGAAGCAGTTTCTGAGAATGCTTCTGTCTAGTTTGTATCTGAAGTTACTTCCTTTTCGATCATAGGCCTCAAATTGCTCCAAATATCCCCTTGCAAATACTACAAAAAGACTGTTTCAAAAGTTCTCTCTCAAAAGGAAGGTTCAACTCCGTGAGTTGAATGCACACATCACAAGGCAGTTTCTGAAAATGCTTCTGTCCAATTTTTATGTGAAGATATTCCCTTTTCCATCATAGGACTCAAGTCGCTCTAAATATCCAATTTCAGATACTACAAAAAGACTGTTTCAAAACTGCTCTCTCAAAGGGAAGGTTCAAGTCCGTGAGTTGAATGCACACATCACAAAGCAGTTCCTGAGAATGCTTCTTTCTAGTTTTTATGTGAATATATCTCCTTTTCCACCATAGGCTTCAAAGCGCTCCAAATGAGAACTGGCAGATCCTCATAAAAGATGGCCTCTAAACCGCTCTATCAAAAGAATGGTTCCACTCCAAGAGGTGAATTCACATATCACGAAGAAGTTTCTGAGAATGCTTGGGTCTACTTTTCATGTGAAGATACCCGTTTCCAACGAATTCTTCAAAGAGTTCCAAGTATCCACAAGCAGATTCTACAAAAGGAGTGCTTAAATGCTGGTCTATCTAAAGACAGATTCAACTCTGTTAGTTAAATGCACACATCTCAGTGAAGTTCCTGAGAATGCTTCTGTCTAGTTTTCATTTGAAGATATTTCTTTTTCCACCATAGGCAACAAAGCGCTCCAAAGGAACTCTTGCGGATTCTACAAAAAGCGTGTTTCTACACTGTTCTATCAAAAGAAAGTTTCAAGTCTGTGAGTTGAATTGCACACAACCCAGTGAACTTTCGGAAAATGCATCTGTCTAGTTTGTATGTGAAGAGATTCCATTTACAACGAATTCCTCAAAGAGCTCCAACTATCCACAAGCAGATTCTACAAAAACAGTGTTTTGAAACTGCTCTATCGATAGAAAGGTTCAACTCTGTTAATTGAACACACACATCCTAAGGAGTTTCTGAGAAACCTTCTGTCTGGTTTGTATGTGAAGTCATTTCCTTTTCCATCTAAATCGCCTCAAATCGCTAAAAGATCCACTCGCAGATACTACAAAAAGACTTTCAAAACTGCTCTCTCAAAAGGAAGGTTCAACTGTGTGAGTTGAATGCGCACATCACATAGCAGTTTTTGAGAACGCTTCTGTCTAGCTTTTTATGTAACGATATTTTCTTTCCACCAGAGGCAACAAAGCCCACAGAACGAAATCTTGCGGAATCTATAAAAAGTGTGTTTCAACACCGCTCTATAAAAAGAAAGGTTCGAGTCCGTGAGTTGAACGCACACAACAGAAAGCAGTTTCTGAGGATGCTTCTGTCTAGTGTTTCTATGAAGATAATTCTATTTCTACCATAGGCAACAATACGCTGCAAATGAACACTTGCAGATTTCACAAAAACTGTGTTTTAACACTGCTCTATCAAAACAAAGGTCCAAGTCTGTGAGTTGACTGCACACATCACAAAGCAGTTTCTGAGAATGATTCTGTCTAGTCTAGTTAGAATGTGAAGATGTCCCGTTTACAACGAATTCCTCCGAGAGCTCTAAATATCTGGAAGCAGATTCTACAAAAGCAGTGCTTCAAACCTGCTCTATCAAAGGAAAGGTTCAGCTCGGGGAATTGAACCCAAACATCACAAAGGTGTCTCTGAGAATGCTTCTGTCTAGTTTGTATGTGAAGATATTTGCTTTTCCATCATAGGCCTTAAATCGCTCCAAATATCCACTTGCAGATACTACAAAAATACCGTTTCAACACTGCTCTCTCCAATGGAAGGTTCAACTCTGTGAGTTGAATGCACACATCACAAAGCAGTTTCTGAGAATGCTTCTGCCTAGTTTTTTGTGAAGATATTCCCTTTTCCACCATAGGCTTCACAGCACTCCAAATGAAAACTTGCAGGTCCTACAAAAAGACTGATTCAAAACTGCTCTCCCAAAAGGAAGGTTCAACTGTGTGAGTTGAATGCACACATCACAAAGCAGTTCCTGAGAATGCTTGGGTCTACTTTTTATGTTAAGGTACCTGTTTCCAACGAATAACTCAAGGAGTTCCAAATATACACAGTCAGATACTGCAAAAGGAGTGTTTCATTCCTGCTCTCTCAAAAGACAGTTTCAACTCTGTTAGTTGAATGCACACATCTCAGTGAAGTTCCTGAGAAGGCTTCTGTCTAGTGTTTAAGTGACGATATTACCTTTTCCCACATAGGCAACAAAGCGCTCCAAATGAATACTTGTGGGTTCTACAAAAAGTGTGTTTCAACACTGCTCTATCGAAAGAAAGTTTCAAGTCTGTGAGTTGAATGCACACATCACAACGAACTTTCTGAGAATGCTTCTGTCTATTTTTCAGGTGAAGATATCACTTTTTCCAACATACGTAAAAAAGTACTCGAAATGAACACTTGCAGATTCTACAAAAAGTATGTTTCAACACTGCTCTATCAAAAGAAAGGTTCAACGATGTGTATTGAACACACACATCACAAAGGAGTTTCAGAGAATGCTTCCGTCTGGTTTTTTACTTGAAGGTATTTCGTTTTCCTTCTTCGGCCTCAAATCACTGCAAATATCCACTTGCAGATACTACAAAAAGACTGTTTCAAAACCGCTCTCTCAGAAGGAAGGTTCGACTCTGTGAGTTGAATGCACACGTTACGAAGCAGTTTCTGAGAATGCTTCTGTCTAGTTTGTTTCTGAAGTTATTTCCTTTTGCATCATAGGCCTCAAATCGCTCCAAATATCCACTTGCAAATACTACAAAAAGACTGTTTCAAAAGTTCTCTCTCAAAAGGAAGGTTCAACTCTGTGAGTTGAATGCACACATCACAAGGCAGTTTCTGAAAATGCTTCTGTCCAATTTTTATGTGAGGATATTCCCTTTTTCATCATAGGACTCACGTCGCTCTAAATATCCAATTTCAGATACTACAAAAAGACTGTTTCAAAACTGCTCTCTCAAAGGGAAGGTTCAAGTCCGTGAGTTGAATGCACACATCACAAAGCAGTTCCTGAGAATGCTTCTTTCCAGTTTTTATGTGAATATATCTCCTTTTCCACCGTAGGCTTCAAAGCGCTCGAAATGAGAACTCGCAGATCTTCATAAAAGACTGCCTCAAAACCGCTCTATCAAAAGAAGGGTTCCACTCCAAGAGGTGAATTCACATATCACGAAGAAGTTTCTGAGAATGCTTGGGTCTACTTTTCATGTGAAGATACCCGTTTCCAACGAATTCTTCAAAGTGTTCGAAATATCCACATGCAGATTCTACAAAAAGGAGTGTTTAAATGCTGGTCTATCTAAAGACAGATTCAACTCTGTTAGTTAAATGCACACATCTCAGTGAAGTTCCTGAGAATGCTTCTGTCTAGTTTTCATTTGAAGATATTTCTTTTTCCACCATAGGCAACAAAGCGCTCCAAAGGAACTCTTGCGGATTCTACAAAAAGCATGTTTCTACACTGCTCTATCAAAAGAAAGTTTCAAGTCTGTGAGTTGAATTGCACACATCGCAGTGAACTTTCGGAAAATGCATCTGTCTAGTTTGTATGTGAACAGATTCCATTTACAACGAATTCCTCAAAGAGCTCCAAATATCCACAAGCAGATTCTACAAAAGCAGTGTTTTGAAACTGCTCTATCGATAGAAAGGTTCAACTCTGTTAATTGAACACACACATCCTAAGGAGTTTCTGAGAAACCTTCTGTCTGGTTTGTATGTGAAGTCATTTCCTTTTCCATCTAAATGGCCTCAAATCGCTAAAAGATCCATTCGCAGATACTACAAAAAGACTTTCAAAACTGCTCTCTCAAAAGGAAGGTTCAACTGTGTGAGTTGAATGCACACATCACATAGTAGTTTTTGAGAATGCTTCTGTCTAGCTTTTTATGTAACGATATTTTCTTTCCACCAGAGGCAGCAAAGCACACGGAATGAAATCTTGCGGATTCTACAGAAAGTGTGTTTCAACACCGCTCTATCCAAAGAAAGGTTCGAGTCCGTGAGTTGAACGCACACAACAGAAAGCAGTTTCCGAGGATGCTTCTGTCTAGTGTTTCTATGAAGATAATTCTTTTTCTACCATAGGCAACAATACGCTGCAAATGAACACTTGCAGATTTCACAAAAACTGTGTTTTAACACTGCTCTATCAAAACAAAGGTCCAAGTCTGTGAGTTGACTGCACACATCACAAAGCAGTTTCTGAGAATGATTCTGTCTAGTCTAGTTAGAATGTGAAGATATCCCGTTTACAAAGAATTCCTCCGAGAGCTCTAAATATCTGGAAGCAGATTCTACAAAAGCAGTGCTTCAAACCTGCTCTATCAAAGGAAAGGTTCAGCTCGGGGAATTGAACACAAGCATCACAAAGGAGTTTCTGAGAATGCTTCTGTCTAGTTTGTATGTGAAGATATTTCCTTTTCCACCATAGGCCTCAAATCGCTCCAAATATCCACTTGCAGATACTACAAAAATACCGTTTCAACACTGCTCTCTCCAATGGAAGGTTCAACTCTGTGAGTTGAATGCACACATCACAAAGCAGTTTCTGAGAATGCTTCTGCCTAGTTTTTTGTGAAGATATTCCCTTTTCCACCATGGGCTTCACAGTGCTCCAAATGAAAACTTGCAGGTCCTACCAAAAGACTGATTCAAAACTGCTCTCTCAAAAGGAAGGTTCAACTGTGTGAGTTGAATGCACACATCACAAAGCAGTTCCTGAGAATGCTTGGGTCTACTTTTTATGTGAAGATACCCGTTTCCAACGAATAACTCAAAGAGTTCCAAATATACACAGTCAGGTACTGCAAAAGGAGTGTTTCACTCCTGCTCTGTCAAAAGACAGTTTCAACTCTGTTAGTTGAATGCACACATCTCAATGAAGTTCCTGAGAAGGCTTCAGTCTAGTTTTAATGTGAAGATATCACCTTTTCCCACATAGGCAACAAAGCGCTCCAAATAAATACTTGAGGATTCTACAAAAAGTGTGTTTCAACACTGCTCTATCAAAAGAAAGTTTCAAGTCTGTGAGTTGAATGCACACATCAAAAAGAACTTTCTGAGAATGCTTCTGTCTATTTTTTAGGTGAAGATATCACTTTTTCCAACATACTCAAAAAAGTACTCCAAATGAACACTTGCAGATTCTACAAAAAGTATGTTTCAATACTGCTCTATCAAAAGAAAGGTTCAAAGATATGAATTGAACACACACATCACAAAGGAGGTTCAGAGAATGTTTCTGTCTAGTATGTATCTGAACTTATTTCCTTTTCCATCATAGGCCTCAAATCGCTCCAAATATCCACTTGCAAATACTACAAAAAGAATGTTTCAAAACTTCTCACTCAAAAGGAAGGTTCAACTCTGTCAGTTGAATGCACACATTACAAAGCAGTTTCTGAGAATGCTTCTGTCCAATTA
The DNA here is from genome assembly GCF_000001405.40 of Homo sapiens. NCBI lineage: Eukaryota > Metazoa > Chordata > Mammalia > Primates > Hominidae > Homo > Homo sapiens. Next base: position 46,554,890 of record NC_000005.10, on the reverse strand, counting down.
TTATGTGGAGATATTCCCTTTTCCATCATAGGCCTCAAGTCGCTCTAAATATCCAATTACAGATACTACAAAAGGACTGTTTCAAAACTGCTCTCTCAAAAGGAAGGTTCAAGTCCGTGAGTTGAATGCACACATCACAAAGCAGTTCCTCAGAATGATTCTTTCTAGTTTTTATGTGAATATATCTCCTATTCCACCATAGGCTTCAAAGCGCTCCAAATGACAACTGGCAGATCCCAATAAAAGACTGCCTCAAAACCGCTCTATCAAAAGAAGGGTTCCACTCCAAGAGGTGAATTCACATATCACGAAGAAGTTTCTGAGAATGCTTGGGTCTACTTTTCATGTGAAGATACACGTTTCCAACGAATTCTTCAAAGAGTTCCAAATATCCACAAGCAGATTCTACAAAAGGAGTGTTTACATGCTGGTCTATCTAAAGACAGATTAAACTCTGTTAGTTAAATGCACACATCTCAGTGAAGTTCCTGAGAATGCTTCTGTCTACTTTTTATTTGAAGATACTTCTTTTTCCACCATAGGCAACAAAGCGCTCCAAATGAATTCTTGCGGATTCTACAAAAAGCGTGTTTCTACACTGTTCTATAAAAAGAAAGTTTCAGGTAAGTGAGTTGAATGCACACATCCCAGTGAACTTTCGGAGAATGCATCTGTCTAGTTGGTATGTGGAGATATTCCATTTACAACGAATTCCTCAAAGAGCTCCAAATATCCACAAGCAGATTCTACAAAAGCAGTGTTTTAAAACTGCTCTATCAATAGAAAGGTTCAACTCTGTTAATTGAACACACACATCCAAAGGAGTTTCTGAGAATCCTTCTGTCTGGTTTGTATGTGAAGTCATTTCCTTTTCCATCTAAATGGCCTCAAATGGCTAAAAGATCCACTTGCAGATACTACAAAGAGACTTTCAAAACTGCTCTCTCAAAAGGAAGGTTCAACTGTGTGAGTTGAATGCACACATCACATAGCACTTTGTGAGAATGCTTCTGTCTAGCTTTTTATGTAACGATATTTTCTTTCCACCAGAGGCAACAAAGCACACGGAATGAAATCTTGCGGATTCTACAAAAAGTGTGTTTCAACACTGCTCTATCCAAAGAAAGGTTCGAGTCCGTGAGTTGAACGCACACAACAGAAAGCAGTTTCTGAGGATGCTTACTGGGTATATACCCAAAGGACTATAAATCATGCTGCTATAAAGACACATGCACAAGTATGTTTATTGTGGCACTATTCACAATAGGAAATACTTGGAACCAACCCAAATGTCCAACAATGATATACTGGACTAAAAAAATGTGGCACATATACACCATGGAATACTATGCAGCCATAAAACATGATGAGTTCATGTCCTTTGTAGGGACATGGATGAAATTGGAAAACATCATTCTCAGTAAACCATCACAAGAACAAAAAACGAAACACCACATATTCTCACTCATAGGTGGGAATTCAACAATGAGATCACATGGACACAGGAAGGGGATTATCACACTCTGGGGACAGTTCTGGGGTGGGGGATCGGGGTGAGGGAGAGCATTGGGAGATATACCTAATGCTAGATGACGAGTTAGTAGATGCAGTGCACCAGCATGGCACATGTACACATATGTAAATAAACTGCAAAATGAGCAAATGCACCCTAAAACATAAAGTACCTAAAAAAATAAAAAAAACTGCTCTATCAAAAGAAATTTTCAACTCTGTGAATTCAAAACACACATCACAAAGTAGTTTCTGAGAATGCT
>NC_000005.10:46546526-46553015 GCF_000001405.40 Homo sapiens | reverse complement strand
TCTGTCTAGTCTAGTTAGAATGTGAAGATATCCCGTTTACAACGAATTCCTCCGAGAGCTCTAAATATCTGGAAGCAGATTCTACAAAAGCAGTGCTTCAAACCTGCTCTATCAAAGGAAAGGTTCAGCTCCGGGAATTGAACACAAGCATCACAAAGGAGTTTCTGAGAATGCTTCTGTCTAGTTTGTATGTGAAGATATTTCCTTTTCCATCATAGGCCTCAAATCGCTCCAAATATCCACTTGCAGATACTACAAAAATACCGTTTCAACACTGCTCTCTCCAATGGAAGGTTCAACTCTGTGAGTTGAATGCACACATCACAAAGCAGTTTCTGAGAATGCTTCTGCCTAGATTTTGTGAAGATATTCCCTTTTCCACCATAGGCTTCACAGCGCTCCAAATGAAAACTTGCAGGTCCTACCAAAACACTGATTCCAAACTGCTCTCTCAAAAGGAAGGTTCAACTGTGTGAGTTGAATGCACACATCACAAAGCAGTTCCTGAGAATGCTTGGGTCTACTTTTTATGTGAAGATACCCGTTTCCAACGAATAACTCAAAGAGTTCCAAATATACACAATCAGATACTACAAAAGGAGTGTTTCATTCCTGCTCTGTCAAAAGACAGTTTCAACTCTGTTAGTTGAATGCACACATCTCAGTTGAGTTCCTGAGAAGGCTTCTGTCTAGTGTTTAAGTGACGATATTACCTTTTCCCACATAGGCAACAAAGCGCTCCAAATGAATACTTGTGGGTTCTACAAAAAGTGTGTTTCAACACTGCTCTATCAAAAGAAAGTTTCAAGTCTGTGAGTTGAATGCACACATCACAACGAACTTTCTGAGAATGCTTCTGTCTATTTTTCAGGTGAAGATATCACTTTTTCCAACACACACAAAAAAGTACTCGAAATGAACACTTGCAGATTCTACAAAAAGTATGTTTCAACACTGCTCTATCAAAAGAAAGGTTCAACGATGTGAATTGAACACACACATCACAAAGGAGTTTCAGAGAATGCTTCCGTCTAGTTTTTTATTTGAAGGTATTTCCTTTTCCTTCTTCGGCCTCAAATCACTGCAAATATCCACTTTCAGATACTACAAAAAGACTGTTTCAAAACTGCTCTCTCAAAGAAAGGTTCAACTCTGTGAGTTGAATGCACACGTAGCAAAGCATTGTCTGAGAATGCTTCTGTCTAGTTTGTTTCTGAAGTTATTTCCTTTTCCATCATAGGCCTCAAATCGCTCCAAATATCCACTTGCAAATACTACAAAAAGACTGTTTCAAAAGTTCTCTCTCAAAAGGAAGGTTCAACTCTGTGAGTTGAATGCACACATCACAAGGCAGTTTCTGAAAATGCTTCTGTCCAGTTTTTATGTGAGGATATTCCCTTTTCCATCATAGGCCTCAAGTCGCTCTAAATATCCAATTTCCGATACTACAAAAAGACTGTTTCAAAACTGCTCTCTCAAAGGGAAGGTTCAAGTCCGTGAGTTGAATGCACACATCACAAAGCAGTTCCTGAGAATGCTTCTTTCTAGTTTTTATGTGAATATATCTCCTTTTCCACCATAGGCTTTAAAGCGCTCCAAATGAGAACTGTCAGATCCTCATAAAAGACGGCCTCAAAACCGCTCTATCAAAAGAAGGGTTCCACTCCAAGAGGTGAATTCGCATATCACGAAAGAAGTTTCTGAGAATGCTTGGGTCTACTTTTCATGTGAAGATACCCGTTTCCAACGAATTCTTCAAAGAGTTCCAAGTATCCACAAGCAGATTCTACAAAAGGAGTGCTTAAATGCTGGTCTATCTAAAGACAGATTCAACTCTGTTAGTTAAATGCACACATCTCAGTGAAGTTCCTGAGAATGCTTCTGTCTAGTTTTTATTTGAAGATATTTCTTTTTCCACCATACGCAACAAGGTGCTCCAAAGGAACTCTTGCGGATTCTACAAAAAGCGTGTTTCTACACTGCTCTATCAAAAGAAAGTTTCAAGTCTGTGAGTTGAATTGCACACATCCCAGTGATCTTTCGGAAAATGCATCTGTCTAGTTTGCATGTGAAGAGATTCCATTTACAACGAATTCCTCAAAGAGCTCCAATTATCCACAAGCAGAGTCTACAAAAGCAGTGTTTTGAAACTGCTCTGTCAATAGAAAGGTTCAACTCTGTTAATTGAGCACACACATCCAAAGGAGTTTCTGAGAATCCTTCTGTCTGGTTTGTATGTGAAGTCATTTCCTTTTCCATCTAAATGGCCTCAAATCGCTAAAAGATCCCCTCACAGATACTACAAAAAGACTTTCAAAACTGCTCTCTCAAAAGGAAGGTTCAACTGTGTGAGTTGAATGCACACATCACATAGCAGTTTTTGAGAATGCTTCTGTCTAGCTTTTTATGTAACGATATTTTCTTTCCACCAGAGGCAACAAAGCACACGGAATGAAATCTTGCGGATTCTACAGAAAGTGTGTTTCAACACCGCTCTATCCAAAGAAACTTTCGAGTCCCTGAGTTGAACGCACACAACAGAAAGCAGTTTCTGAGGATGCCTCTGTCTAGTATTTCTATGAAGATAATTCTTTTTCTACCATAGGCAACAATACGCTGCAAATGAACACTTGCAGATTTCACAAAAACTGTGTTTTAACACTGCTCTATCAAAAGAAATGTCCAAGTCTGTGAGTTGATTGCACACATCACAAAGCAGATTCGGAGAATGATACTGTCTAGTTTCAATGTGAAGATATCCCGCTTACAACGAATTCCTCCAAGAGCTCTAAATATCTGGAAGCATATTCTACAAAAGCAGTGCTTCAAACCTGCTCTGTCAAAGGAAAGGTTCAGCTCGGGGAATTGAACACAAACATCACAAAGGAGTTTCTGAGAATGCTTCTGTCTAGTTTGTATGTGAAGATATTTCCTTTTCCACCATAGGCCTCCAATCGCTCCAAATATCCACTTGCAGATACTACAAAAATACCGTTTCAACACTGCTCTCTCCAATGGAAGGTTCAACTCTGTGAGTTGAATGCACACATCACAAAGCAGTTTCTGAGAATGCTTCTGCCTAGTTTTTTGTGAAGATATTCCCTTTTCCACCATGGGCTTCACAGCGCTCCAAATGAAAAATTCCAGGTCCTACCAAAAGACTGATTCAAAACTGCTCTATCAAAAGGAAGGTTCAACTGTGTGAGTTGAATGCACACATCACAAAGCAGTTCCTGAGAATGCTTGGGTCTACTTCTTATGTGAAGATACCCGTTTCCAACGAATAACTCAAAGAGTTCCAAATATACACAGTCAGATACTGCAAAAGGAGTGTTTCATTCCTGCTCTGTCAAAAGACAGTTTCAACTATGTTAGTTGAATGCACACATCTCAGTGAAGTTCCTGAGGAGGCTTCTGTCTAGTGTTTAGGTGACGATATTACCTTTTCCCACATAGGCAACAAAGCGCTCCAAATGAATACTTGTGGGTTCTACAAGAAGTGTGTTTCAACACTGCTCTATCAAAAGAAAGTTTCCAGTCTGTGAGTTGAATGCACACATCACAACGAACTTTCTGAGAATGCTAATGTCGATTTTTCAGGTGAAGATATCACTTTTTCCAACATACACAAAAATGTACTCGAAATGAACACTTGCAGATTCTACAAAAAGTATGTTTCAACACTGCTCTATCAAAAGAAAGGTTCAAAGATGTGAATTGAACACACACATCACAAAGGAGTTTCAGAGAATGCTTCTGTCTAGTTTGTATCTGAAGGTATTTCCTTTTCCTTCTTCGGCCTCAAATCACTGGAAATATCCAATTGCAGATACTACAAAAAGACTGTTTCAAAACCGCTCTCTCAAAAGGAAGGTTTTACTCTGTGAGTTGAATGCACACATTACAAAGCAGTTTCTGGAATGCTTCTGTCCAATTTGTATGTGAAGATATTCCCTTTTCCATCATAGTCCTCAAGTCGCTCTAAATATCCAATTTCAGATACTACAAAAAGACTGTTTCAAAACTGCTCTCTCAAAAAGAAGGTTCAAGTCCGTGAGTTGAATGCACACATCACAAAGCAGTTCCTGAGAATGCTTCTTTCTAGTTTTTATGTGAATATATCTCCTTTTCCGTCATAGGCTTCAAAGTGCTCCAAATGAGAACTGGCAGATCCTCATAAAAGACTGCCTCAACACCGCTGTATCAAAAGAAGGGTTCCACTCCAAGAGGTGAATTCACATATCACGAAGAAGTTTCTTAGAATGCTTGGGTCTACTTTTCATGTGAAGATACCCGTTTGCAACGAATTCTTCAAAGTGTTCGAAATATCCACATGCAGATTCTACAAAAAGGAGTGTTTAAATGCTGGTCTATCTAAAGACAGATTCAACTCTGTTAGTTAAATGCACACAACTCAGTGAAGTTCCTGAGAATGCTTCTGTCTAACTTTTATTTCAAGATATTTCTTTTTCCACCATAGACAACAAAGCGCTCCAAAGGAACTCTTGCAGGTTGTACAAAAAGCGTGTTTCTACACTGCTCTATCAAAAGAAAGTTTCAAGTCTGTGAGTTGAATGCACACATCCCAGTGAACTTTCGGAGAATGCATCTGTCTAGTTTGTATGTGAAGAGATTCCATTTACAACGAATTCCTCAAAGAGCTCCAAATATCCACAAGCAGATTCTACAAAAGCAGTGTTTTGAAACTGCTCTATCGATAGAAAGGTTCAACTCTGTTAATTGAACACACACATCCTAAGGAGTTTCTGAGAAACCTTCTGTCTGGTTTGTATGTGAAGTCATTTCCTTTTCCATCTAAATAGCCTCAAATGGCTAAAAGATCCACTTGCAGATACTACAAAAAGATTTTCAAAACTGCTCTCTCAAAAGGAAGGTTCAACTGTGTGAGTTGAATGCACACATCACATAGCAGTTTTTGAGAACGCTTTTGTCTAGCTTTTTATGTAACGATATTTTCTTTCCACCAGAGGCAACAAAGCACACGGAATGAAATCTTGCGGATTCTACAGAAAGTGTGTTTCAACACCGCTCTATCCAAAGAAAGGTTCGAGTCCGTGAGTTGAACGCACACAACAGAAAGCTGTTTCCGAGGATGCTTCTGTCTAGTGTTTCTATGAAGATAATACTTTTTCTACCATAGGCAACAATACGCTGCAAATGAACACTTGCAGATTTCACAAAAACTGTGTTTTAACACTGCTCTATCAAAAGAAATGTCCAAGTCTGTGAGTTGATTGCACACATCACAAAGCAGTTTCGGAGAATGATTCTGTCTAGTTTGTATGTGAAGACATTTCCTTTTCCATCATAGGCCTCAAATCGCTCCAAATATCCACTTGCAGATACTTCAAACATACCGTTTCAACACTGCTCTCTCAAATGGAAGGTTCAACTCTGTGAGTTGAATGCACACATCACAAAGTAGTTTCTGAGAATGCTTCTGTCTAATTTGTATGTGAAGTTATTCCCTTTTCCATCATAGGTCACAAATCGCTCCAAATATCCACTTGCAGATACTACAAAAAGACTGTTTCATAACTGCTCTCTCAAAAGGAAGGTTCAACTCTGTGAGTTGAATGCGCACATCACAAAGCAGTTTCTGAGAATGCTTCTGTCGAGTTTGTATGTGAAGATATTTCCTTTTCCATCTTAGGCCTCAAATCACTACAAATATCCACTTGCAGATACTGTAAAAAGACTGTTTCAAAACCTCTCTCTCAAAAGGAAACTTCAAGTCTAGGAGTTGACTGCACACATCACAAAGCAGTTCCTGAGACTGCTTCTGTCTAGTTTTTATGTGAAGATATTTCCTTTTCCATCATAGGCCTCAAATCGCTCCAAATATCCGCTTGCAGATACTACAAAAAGACTGTTTCAAAACTGCTCTCTCTGAAAAGGAAGGTTCAACTCTGTGAGTTGAATGCACACATCACAAAGCAGTTTCTGAGAATGCTTCTGTCTAGTGTTTAAGTGACGATATTACCTTTTCCCACATAGGCAACAAAGCGCTCCAAATGAATACTTGGGGGTTCTACAAAAAGTGTGTTTCAACACTGCTCTATCAAAAGAAAGTTTCAAGTCTGAGAGTTGAATGCACACATCACAACGAACTTTCTGAGAATGCTTCTGTCTAATTTTCAGGTGAAGATATCACTTTTTCCAACATACGTAAAAAAGTACGGGAAATGAACACTTGCAGATTCTACAAAAAGTATGTTTCAACACTGCTCTATCAAAAGAAAGGTTCAACGATGTGAATTGAACACACACATCACAAAGGAGTTTCAGAGAATGCTTCCGTCTAGTTTTTTATTTGAAGGTATTTCCTTTTCCTTCTTTGGCCTCAAATCACTGCAAATATCCACTTGCAGACACTACAAAAAGACTGTTTCAAAACCGCTCTCTCAAAAGGAAGGTTCGACTCTGTGAGTTGAATGCACACGTTACGAAGCAGTTTCTGAGAATGCT
>NC_000005.10:46527127-46546426 GCF_000001405.40 Homo sapiens | reverse complement strand
CTTCTGTCTATTTTTCAGGTGAAGATATCACTTTTTCCAACATACGTAAAAAAGTACTTGAAATGAACACTTGCAGATTCTACAAAAAGGATGTTTCAACACTGCTCTATCAAAAGAAAGGTTCAGTCCCAGCTACTCGGGAGGCTGAGGCAGGAGAATGGCGTGAACCCGGGAGGCGGAGCTTGCTCTGTCCAATTTTTGTGTGAGGATATTCCCTTTTCCATCATAGGACTCAAGTCGCTCTAAATATCCAATTTCAGATACTACAAAAAGACTGTTTCAAAACCGCTCTCTCAAAGGGAAGGTTCAAGTCCGTGAGTTGAATGCACACATCACAAAGCAGTTCCTGAGAATGCTTCTTTCTAGTTTTTATGTGAATATATCTCCTTTTCCACCATAGGCTTTAAAGCGCTCCAAATGAGAACTGTCAGATCCTCATAAAAGACGGCCTCAAAACCGCTCTATCAAAAGAAGGGTTCCACTCCAAGAGGTGAATTCGCATATCACGAAGAAGTTTCTGAGAATGCTTGGGTCTACTTTTCATGTGAAGATACCCGTTTCCAACGAATTCTTCAAAGAGTTCCAAGTATCCACAAGCAGATTCTACAAAAGGAGTGCTTAAATGCTGGTCTATCTAAAGACAGATTCAACTCTGTTAGTTAAATGCACACATCTCAGTGAAGTTCCTGAGAATGCTTCTGTCTAGTTTTTATTTGAAGATATTTCTTTTTCCACCGTAGGCAACAAAGCGCTCCAAAGGAACTCTTGCGGATTCTACAAAAAGCGTGTTTCCACACTGCTCTATTAAAAGAAAGTTTCAAGTCTGTGAGTTGAATTGCACACATCCCAGTGAACTTTCGGAAAATGCATCTGTCTAGTTTGCATGTGAAGAGATTCCATTTACAACGAATTCCTCAAAGAGCTCCAATTATCCACAAGCAGAGTCTACAAAAGCAGTGTTTTGAAACTGCTCTGTCAATAGAAAGGTTCAACTCTGTTAATTGAGCACACACATCCAAAGGAGTTTCTGAGAATCCTTCTGACTGGTTTGTATGTGAAGTCATTTCCTTTTCCATCTAAATCGCCTCAAATCACTAAAAGATCCACTTGCAGATACTACAAAAAGACTTTCAAAACTGCTCTCTCAAAAGGAAGTTTCAACTGTGTGAGTTGAATACACACATCACATAGCAGTTTCTGAGAATGCTTCTGTCTAGCTTTTTATGTAACGATATTTTCTTTCCACCATAGGCAACAAAGCACACAGAATGAAATCTTGCGGATTCTACAAAAAGTGTGTTTCAACACTGCTCTATCCAAAGAAAGGTTCGAGTCCGTGAGTTGAACGCACACAACAGAAAGCAGTTTCTGAGGATGCTTCTGTCTAGTGTTTCTATGAAGATAATTCTTTTTCTACCATAGACAACAATACGTTGCAAATGAACACTTGCAGATTTCACGGAAACTGTGTTTTAACACTGCTCTATCAAAACAAAGGTCCAAGTCTGTGAGTTGACTGCACACATCACAAAGCAGTTTCGGAGAATGATTCTGTCTAGTCTAGTTAGAATGTGAAGATATCCCGTTTACACCGAATTCCTCCGAGAGCTCTAAATATCTGGAAGCAGATTCTACAAAAGCAGTGCTTCAAACCTGCTCTATCAAAGGAAAGGTTCAACTCGGGGAACTGAACACAAACATCACAAAGGAGTTTCTGAGAATGCTTCTGTCTAGTTCGTATGTGAAGATATTTCCTTTTCCACCATAGGCCTCAAATCGCTACAAATATCCACTTGCAGATACTACAAAAATACCGTTTCAACACTGCTCTCTCCAATGGAAGGTTCAACTCTGTGAGTTGAATGCACACATCACAAAGCAGTTTCTGAGAATGCTTCTGCCTAGATTTTGTGAAGATATTCCCTTTTCCACCATAGGCTTCACAGCGCTCCAAATGAAAACTTGCAGGTCCTACCAAAAGACTGATTCCAAACTGCTCTCTCAAAAGGAAGGTTCAACTGTGTGAGTTGAATGCACACATCACAAAGCAGTTCCTGAGAATGCTTGGGTCTACTTTTTATGTGAAGATACCCGTTTCCAATGAATAACTCAAAGAGTTCCAAATATACACAGTCAGATACAGCAAAAGGAGTGTTTCACTCCTGCTCTGTCAAAAGACAGTTTCAACTCTTTTAGTTGAAGGCACACATCTCAATGAAGTTCCTGAGAAGGCTTCTGTCTAGTGTTTAAGTGACGATATTACCTTTTCCCACATAGGCAACAAAGTGCTCCAAATGAATACTTGGGGGTTCTACAAAAAGTGTGCTTCAACACTGCTCTATCAAAAGAAAGTTTCAAGTCTGTGAGTTGAATGCACACATCACAACGAACTTTCTGAGAATGCTTCTGTCTATTTTTCAGGTGAAGATATCACTTTTTCCAACATACGTAAAAAAGTACTCGAAATGAACACTTGCAGATTCTACAAAAAGGATGTCTCAACACTGCTCTATCAAAAGAAAGGTTCAACGATGTGAATTGAACACACACATCACAAAGGAGTTTCAGAGAATGCCTCCGTCTAGCTTTTTATTTGAAGGTATTTCCTTTTCCTTCTTCGGCCTCAAATCACTGCAAATATCCACTTGCGGATACTACAAGAAGACTGTTTCAAAACCGCTCTCTCAAAAGGAAGGTTCGACTCCGTGAGTTGAATGCACACGTTACGAAGCAGTTTCTGAGAATGCTTCTGTCTAGTTTGTACCTGAAGTTATTTCCTTTTCCATCATAGGCCTCAAATCGCTCCACATATCCACTTGCAAATACTACCAAAAGACTGCTTCAAAACTTCTCTCTCAAAAGGAAGGTTCAACTCTGTGAGTTCAATGCACACATCACAAGGCAGTTTCTGAAAATGCTTCTGTCCAATTTTTATGTGAAGAAATTACTTTTTTCATCATTGGCTTCAAGTCGCTCTAAATATCCAATTTCAGATACTACAAAAAGACTGTTTCAAAACTACTCTCTCAAAAGGAAGGTTGAACTCCGTGAGTTTAAGGCACACATCACAAAGCAGTTCCTGAGAATGCTTCTGCCTAGTTTTTTTTGAAGATATTCCCTTTTCCACCATAGGCTTCACAGCGCTCCAAATGAAAACTTGCAGGTCCTACAAAAAGACTGATTCAAAACTGCTCTATCAAAAGAACGGTTCCACTCTGTTAGGTGAAGGCACACATCACAAGAAGTTTCTGAGAATGTTTGGGTCTACTTTTTATGTGAAGATACCCGTTTCCAACGAATAACTCAAAGAGTTCCAAATATACACAATCAGATACTACAAAAGGAGTGTTTCATTCCTGCTCTGTCAAAAGACAGTTTCAACTCTGTTAGTTGAATGCACACATCTCAATGAAGTTCCTGAGAAGGCTTCAGTCTAGTTTTAATGTGAAGATATCACCTTTTCCCACATAGGCAACAAAGCGCTCCAAATAAATACTTGTGGATTCTACAAAAAGTGTGTTTCAACACTGCTCTATCAAAAGAAAGTTTCCAGTCTGTGAGTTGAATGCACACATCAAAAAGAACTTTCTGAGAATGCTTCTGTCTATTTTTCAGGTGAAGATATCACTTTTTCCAACATATGTAAAAAAGTACTGGAAATGAACACTTGCAGATTCTACAAAAAGTATGTTTCAACACTGCTCTATCAAAAGAAAGGTTCAACGATGTGAATTGAACACACACATCACAAAGGAGTTTCAGAGAATGCTTCCGTCTAGTTTTTTATTTGAAGGTATTTCCTTTTCCTTCTTCGGCCTCAAATCACTGCAAATATCCTCTTGCAGACACTACAAAAAGACTGTTTCAAAACCGCTCTCTCAAAAGGAAGGTTCGACTCTGTGAGTTGAATGCACACGTTACGAAGCAGTTTCTGAGAATGCTTCTGTCTAATTTGTATCTCAAGTTATTTCTTTTTCCATCATAGGCCTCAAATCGTTCCAAATATCCACTTGCAAATACTACAAAAAGACTGTTTCGAAAGTTCTCTCTCAAAAGGAAGGTTCAACTCTGTGAGTTGAATGCACACATCACAAGGCAGTTTCTGAAAATGCTTCTGTCCAATTTTTATGTGAAGATATTCCCTTTTCCATCATAGGACTCAAGTCGCTCTAAATATCCAATTTCAGATACTACAAAAAGACTGTTTCAAAACTGCTCTCTCAAAGGGAAGGTTCAAGTCCGTGAGTTGAATGCACACATCACAAAGCAGTTCCTGAGAATGCTTCTTTCTAGTTTTTATGTGAATATGTCTCCTTTTCCACCATAGGCTTCAAAGCGCTCCAAATGAGAACTGGCAGATCCTCATAAAAGACGGCCTCTAAACCGCTCTATCAAAAGAAGGGTTCCACTCCAAGAGGTGAATTCACATATCATGAAGAAGTTTCTGAGAATGCTTGGGTCTACTTTTCATGTGAAGATACCCGTTTCCAACGAATTCTTCAAAGAGTTCCAAGTATCCACAAGCAGATTCTGCAAAAGGAGTGCTTAAATGCTGGTCTATCTAAAGACAGATTCAACTCTGTTAGTTAAATGCACACATCTCAGTGAAGTTCCTGAGAATGCTTCTGTCTAGTTTTTATTTGAAGATATTGCTTTTTCCACCGTAGGCAACAAAGCGCTCCAAAGGAACTCTTGCGGATTCTACAAAAAGCGTGTTTCCACACTGCTCTATCAAAAGAAAGTTTCAAGTCTGTGAGTTGAATTGCACACATCCCAGTGAACTTTCGGAAAATGCATCTGTCTAGTTTGTATGTGAAGAGATTCCATTTACAACGAATTCCTCAAAGAGCTACAAATATCCACAAGCAGATTCTACAAAAGCAGTGTTTTGAAACTGCTCTATCAATAGAAAGGTTCAACACTGTTAATTGAACACACACATCCTAAGGAGTTTCTGAGAATCTTTCTGTCTGGTTTGTATGTGAAGTCATTTCCTTTTCCAACTAAATCGCCTCAAATCGCTAAAAGATCCACTTGCAGATACTACCAAAAGACTTTCAAAACTGCTCTCTCAAAAGGAAGGTTCAACTGTGTGACTTGAATGCACACGTCACAAAGCAGTTTTTGAGAATGCTTCTGTCTACATTTTTAAGTAACGATATTTTCTTTCCACCATAGACAACAAAGCACACGGAATGAAAACTTGCAGATTCTACAAAAAGTGTGTTTCAACACTGCTCTCTCCAAATAAAGGTTCGAGACCGTGAGTTGAACACACACAACAGAAAGCAGTTTCTGAGGATGCTTCTGTCTAGTGTTTCTATGAAGATAATTCTTCTTCTACCATAGGCAACAATACGCTGCAAATGAACACTTGCAGATTTCACAAAAACTGTGTTTTAACACTGCTGTATCAAAACAAATGTCCAAGTCTGTGAGTAGATTGCACACATCACAAATCAGTTTCTGAGAATGATTCTGTCTAGTTAGAATGTGAAGATATCCCGTTTACAACGAATTCCTCCGAGAGCTCTAAATATCTGGAAGCAGATTCTACAAAAGCAGTGCTTCAAACCTGCTCTATCAAAAGAAAGGTTCAGTTCTGGGAATTGAACACAAACATCACAAAGGAGTTTCTGAGAATGCTTCTGTCTAGTTTGTATGTGAAGATATTTCCTTTTCCATCATAGGCCTCCAATCGCTCCAAATATCCACTTGCAGATACTACAAAAATACCGTTTCAACACTGCTCTCTCCAATGGAAGGTTCAACTCTGTGAGTTGAAAGCACACATCACAAAAGCAGTTTCTGAGAATGCTTCTGTCCTATTTTTATGTGAAGATATTCCCTTTTCCATCATAGGCCTCAAGTCGCTCCAAATATCCACTTGCAGACATTACAAGAAGACTGTTTCAAAACTGTTCTCTCAAAAGGAAGGTTCAACTCTGTGAGTTGAGTGCACACATCACAATGGAGTTTCTGAGAATACTTCTTTCAAGTTTTTATGTGAATATATCTCCTTTTCCACCATAGGCTTCAAAGCGCTCCAAATGAGAACTGGCAGATCTTCATAAAAGACTGCCTCAAAACCGCTCTATCAAAAGAAGGGTTCCACTCCAAGAGGTGAATCCACATATCACGAAGAAGTTTCTGAGAATGCTTGGGTCTACTTTTCATGTGAAGATACCCGTTTCCAACGAATTCTTCAAAGAGTTCCAAGTATCCACAAGCAGATTCTACAAAAGGAGTGCTTAAATGCTGGTCTATCTAAAGACAGATTCAACTCTGTTAGTTAAATGCACACATCTCAGTGAAGTTCCTGAGAATGCTTCTGTCTAGCTTTTATTTCAAGATATTCCTTTTTCCACCATAGGCAACAAAGCGCTCCAAAGGAACTCTTGCAGATTGTACAAAAAGCGTGTTTCTACACTGCTCTATCAAAAGAAAGTTTCAAGTCTGTGAGTTGAATGCACACATCCCAGTGAACTTTCGGAGAAAGCATCTGTCTAGTTTGTATGTGAAGATATTCCATTTACAATGAATTCCTCAAAGAGCTCCAAATATCCACAAGCAGATTCTACAAAAGCAGTGTTATAAAACTGCTCTATCAATAGAAAGGTTCAACTCTGTTAATTGAACACACACATCCAAAGGAGTTTCTGAGAATCCTTCTGTCTGGTTTGTATGTGAAGTCATTTGCTTTTCCATCTAAATGGCCTCAAATCGCTAAAACATCCACTTGCAGATACAACAAAGAGACTTTCAAAACTGCTCTCTCAAAAGGAAGGTTCAACTGTGTGAGTTGAATGCACACATCACATAGCACTTTTTGAGAATGCTTCTGTCTACCTTTTTAAGTAACGATATTTTCTTTCCACCATAGGCAACAAAGCACACGGAATGAAAACTTGCAGATTCTACAGAAAGTGTGTTTCAACACTGCTCTATCCAAATAAAGGTTCGAGACCGTGAGTGGAACACACACAACAGAAAGCAGTTTCTGAGGATGCTTCTGTCTAGTGTTTCTATGAAGATAATTCTTTTTCTACCATAGGCAACAATACGCTGCAAATGAACACTTGCAGATTTCACAAAATCTGTGTTTTAACACTGCTCTATCAAAAGAAAAGTCCAAGTCTGTGAGTTGACTGCACACATCACAAAGCAGTTTCTGAGAACGATACTGTCTAGTTTCAATGTGAAGATATCCCGTTTACAACGAATTCCTCCAAGAGCTCTAAATATCTGGAAGCAGATTCTACAAAAGCAGTGCTTCAAACCTGCTCTATCAAAGGAAAGGTTCAGCTCTGGGAATTGAACACAAACATCACAAAGGAGTTTCTGAGAATGCTTCTGTCTAGTTTGTATGTGAAGGTATTTCCTTTTCCATCCGAGGCCCCAAGTCACTACAAATATCCACTTGCAGATACTACAAACAGACTGTTTCAAAACCTCCCTCTCAAAAGGAAAGTTCAAATCTGTGAGTTGAATGCACACATCACAAAGCAGTTCCTCAGACTGCTTCTGCCTAGTTTTTTGTGAAGATATTCCCTTTTCCACCATAGGCTTCACAGCGCTCCAAATGAAAACTTGCAGGTCCTACGAAAAGACTGATTCCAAACTGCTCTCTCAAAAGGAAGGTTCAACTGTGTGAGTTGAATGCACACATCACAAAGCAGTTCCTGAGAATGCTTGGGTCTACTTTTTATGTGAAGATACCCGTTTCCAATGAATACCTCAAAGAGTTCCAAATATACACAGTCAGATACTGCAAAAGGAGTGTTTCATTCCTGCTCTGTCAAAAGACAGTTTCAACTCTGTTAGTTGAATGCACACATCTCAGTGAAGTTCCTGAGAAGGCTTCTGTCTAGTGTTTAAGTGACGATATTACCTTTTCCCACATAGGCAACAAAGCGTTCCAAATGAATACTTGGGGGTTCTACAAAAAGTGTGTTTCAACACTGCTCTATCAAAAGAAAGTTTCAAGTTTGTGATTTGAATGCACACATCACAACGAACTTTCTGAGAATGCTTCTGTCTATTTTTCAGGTGAAGATATCACTTTTTCCAACATAAGTAAAAAAGTATTCGAAATGAACACTTGCAGATTCTACAAAAAGTATGTTTCAACACTGCTCTATCAAAAGAAAGGTTCAACGATGTGAATTGAACACACACATCACAAAGGAGTTTCAGAAAATGCTTCCGTCTAGCTTTTTATTTGAAGGTATTTCCTTTTCCTTCTTCGGCCTCAAATCACTGCAAATATCCACTTGCGGATACTACAAGAAGACTGTTTCAAAACCGCTCTCTCAAAAGGAAGGTTCGACTCCGTGAGTTGAATGCACACGTTACGAAGCAGTTTCTGAGAATGCTTCTGTCTAGTTTGTTTCTGAAGTTATTTCCTTTTCCATCATAGGCCTCAAATCGCTCCAAATATCCACTTGCAAATACTACAAAAAGACTGTTTCAAAAGTTCTCTCTCAAAAGGAAGGTTCAACTCTGTGAGTTGAATGCACACATCACAAGGCAGTTTCTGAAAATGCTTCTGTCCAATTTTTATGTGAGGATATTCCCTTTTCCATCATAGGACTCAAGTCGCTCTAAATATCCAATTTCAGATACTACAAAAAGACTGTTTCAAAACCGCTCTCTCAAAGGGAAGGTTCAAGTCCGTGAGTTGAATGCACACATCACAAAGCAGTTCCTGAGAATGCTTCTTTCTAGTTTTTATGTGAATATGTCTCCTTTTCCACCATAGGCTTCAAAGCGCTCCAAATGAGAACTGGCAGATCCTCATAAAAGACGGCCTCTAAACCGCTCTATCAAAAGAAGGGTTCCACTCCAAGAGGTGAATTCACATATCACGAAGAAGTTTCTGAGAATGCTTGGGTCTACTTTTCATGTGAAGATACCCGTTTCCAACGAATTCTTCAAAGAGTTCCAAGTATCCACAAGCAGATTCTACAAAAGGAGTGCTTAAATGCTGGTCTATCTAAAGACAGATTCAACTCTGTTAGTTAAATGCACACATCTCAGTGAAGTTCCTGAGAATGCTTCTGTCTAGTTTTTATTTGAAGATATTGCTTTTTCCACCGTAGGCAACAAAGCGCTCCAAAGGAACTCTTGCGGATTCTACAAAAAGCTTGTTTCCACACTGCTCTATCAAAAGAAAGTTTCAAGTCTGTGAGTTGAATTGCACACATCCCAGTGAACTTTCGGAAAATGCATCTGTCTAGTTTGCATGTGAAGAGATTCCATTTACAACGAATTCCTCAAAGAGCTCCAATTATCCACAAGCAGAGTCTACAAAAGCAGTGTTTTGAAACTGCTCTGTCAATAGAAAGGTTCAACTCTGTTAATTGAGCACACACATCCAAAGGAGTTTCTGAGAATCCTTCTGTCTGGTTTGTATGTGAAGTCATTTCCTTTTCCATCTACATCGCCTCAAATCGCTAAAAGATCCACTCGCAGATACTACAAAAAGACTTTCAAAACTGCTCTCTCAAAAGGAAGGTTCAACTGCGTGAGTTGAATGCACACATCACAAAGCAGTTTCTGAGAACGCTTCTGTCTAGCTTTTTATGTAACGATATTTTCTTTCCACCAGAGGCAACGAAGCACACGGAACGAAATCTTGCGGATTGTACAAAAAGTGTGTTTCAACACCGCTCTATCCAAAGAAAGGTTCGAGTCCGTGAGTTGAACGCACACAACAGAAAGCAGTTTCTGAGGATGCTTCTGTCTAGTGTTTCTATGAAGATAATTCTTTTTCTACCATAGGCAACAATACGCTGCAAATGAACACTTGCAGATTTCACAAAAACTGTGTTTTAACACTGCTCTATCAAAACAAATGTCCAAGTCTGTGAGTAGATTGCACACATCACAAATCAGTTTCTGAGAATGATTCTGTCTAGTTAGAATGTGAAGATATCCCGTTTACAACGAATTCCTCCGAGAGCTCTAAATATCTGGAAGCAGATTCTACAAAAGGAGTGCTTCAAACCTGCTCTATCAAAAGAAAGGTTCAGTTCTGGGAATTGAACACAAACATCACAAAGGAGTTTCTGAGAATGCTTCTGTCTAGTTTGTATGTGAAGATATTTCCTTTTCCACCATAGGCCTCCAATCGCTCCAAATATCCACTTGCAGATACTACAAAAATACCGTTTCAACACTGCTCTCTCCAATGGAAGGTTCAACTCTGTGAGTTGAATGCACACATCACAAAGCAGTTTCTGAGAATGCTTCTGCCTAGATTTTGTGAAGATATTCCCTTTTCCACCATAGGCTTCACAGCGCTCCAAATGAAAACTTGCAGGTCCTACCAAAACACTGATTCCAAACTGCTCTCTCAAAAGGAAGGTTCAACTGTGTGAGTTGAATGCACACATCACAAAGCAGTTCCTGAGAATGCTTGGGTCTACTTTTTATGTGAAGATACCCGTTTCCAACGAATAACTCAAAGAGTTCCAAATATACACAGTCAGGTACTGCAAAAGGAGTGTTTCACTCCTGCTCTGTCAAAAGACAGTTTCAACTCTGTTAGTTGAATGCACACATCTCAATGAAGTTCCTGAGAAGGCTTCTGTCTAGTGTTTAGGTGACGATATTACCTTTTCCCACATAGGCAACAAAGCGCTCCAAATGAATACTTGTGGGTTCTACAAAAAGTGTGTCTCAACACTGCTCTATCAAAAGAAAGTTTCCAGTCTGTGAGTTGAATGCACACATCACCACGAACTTTCTGAGAATGCTTCTGTCTATTTTTCAGGTGAAGATATCACTTTTTCCAACATACGTAAAAAAGTACTCGAAATGAACACTTGCAGATTCTACAAAAAGGATGTTTCAACACTGCTCTATCAAAAGAAAGGTTCAACGATGTGAATTGAACACACACATCACAAAGGAGTTTCAGAGAATGCTTCCGTCTAGCTTTTTATTTGAAGGTATTTCCTTTTCCTTCTTCGGCCTCAAATCACTGCAAATATCCACTTGCGGATACTACAAGAAGACTGTTTCAAAACCGCTCTCTCAAAAGGAAGGTTCGACTCCGTGAGTTGAATGCACACGTTACGAAGCAGTTTCTGAGAATGCTTCTGTCTAATTTGTATCTCAAGTTATTTCCTTTTCCATCATAGGCCTCAAATCGCTCCAAATATCCACTTGCAAATACTACAAAAAGACTGTTTCGAAAGTTCTCTCTCAAAAGGAAGGTTCAACTCTGTGAGTTGAATGCACACATCACAAGGCAGTTTCTGAAAATGCTTCTGTCCAATTTTTATGTGAAGATATTCCCTTTTCCATCATAGGACTCAAGTCGCTCTAAATATCCAATTTCAGATACTACAAAAAGACTGTTTCAAAACTGCTCTCTCAAAGGGAAGGTTCAAGTCCGTGAGTTGAATGCACACATCACAAAGCAGTTCCTGAGAATGCTTCTTTCTAGTTCTTATGTGAATGTATCTACTTTTCCACCATAGGCTTCACAGCGCTCCAAATGAGAACTGGCAGATCCTCATAAAAGACGGCCTCAAAACCGCTCTATCAAAACAAGGGTTCCACTCCAAGAGGTGAATTCACATATCACGAAGAAGTTTCTGAGAATGCTTGGGTCTACTTTTCATGTGAAGATGCCCGTTTCCAACGAATTCTTCAAAGAGTTCCAAGTATCCACAAGCAGATTCTACAAAAGGAGTGCTTAAATGCTGGTCTATCTAAAGACAGATTCAACTCTGTTAGTTAAATGCACACATCTCAGTGAAGTTCCTGAGAATGCTTCTGTCTAGTTTTTATTTGAAGATATTTCTTTTTCCACCATAGGCAACAAAGCGCTCCAAAGGAACTCTTGCGGATTCTACAAAAAGCGTGTTTCTACACTGCCCTATGAAAAGAAAGTTTCAAGTCTGTGAGTTGAATTGCACACATCCCAGTGAACTTTCGGAAAATGCATCTGTCTAGTTTGCATGTGAAGAGATTCCATTTACAACGAATTCCTCAAAGAGCTCCAATTATCCACAAGCAGAGTCTACAAAAGCAGTGTTTTGAAACTGCTCTGTCAATAGAAAGGTTCAACTCAGTAAATTGAGCACACACATCCAAAGGAGTTTCTAAGAATCCTTCTGTCTGGTTTGTATGTGAAGTCATTTCCTTTTCCATCTAAATCGCCTCAAATCGCTAAAAGATCCACTTGCAGATACTACAAAAAGACTTTCAAAACTGCTCTCTCAAAAGGAAGGTTCAACTGTGTGAGTTGAATGCACACATCACAAAGCAGTTTTTGAGAACGCTTCTGTCTAGCTTTTTATGTAACGATATTTTCTTTCCACCAGAGGCAACGAAGCACACGGAACGAAATCTTGCGGATTCTACAAAAAGTGTGTTTCAACACCGCTCTATCCAAAGAAAGGTTCGAGTCCGTGAGTTGAACGCACAAAACAGAAAGCAGTTTCTGAGGATGCTTCTGTCTAGTGTTTCTATGAAGATAATTCTTTTTCTACCATTGGCAACAATACGCTGCAAATGAACACTTGCATATTTCACAAAAACTGTGTTTTAACACTGCTCTATCAAAACAAAGATCCAAGTCTGTGAGTTGACTGCACACATCACAAAGCAGTTTCTGAGAATGATTCTGTCTAGTCTAGTTATAATGTGAAGATCTCCCGTTTACAACGAATTCCTCCGAGAGCTCTAAATATCTGGAAGCAGATTCTACAAAAGCAGTGCTTCAAACCTGCTCTATCAAAGGAAAGGTTCAGCTCGGGGAATTGAACACAAACATCACAAAGGAGTTTCTGAGAATGCTTCTGTCTAGTTTGTATGTGAAGATATTTCCTTTTCCATCATAGGCCTCAAATCGCCCCAAATATCCACTTGCAGATACTACAAAAATACCGTTTCAACACTGCTCTCTCCAATGGAAGGTTCAACTCTGTGAGTTGAATGCACACATCACAAAGCAGTTTCTGAGAATGCTTCTGCCTATTTTTTTGTGAAGATATTCCCTTTTCCACCATGGGCTTCACAGCGCTCCAAATGAAAACTTGCAGGTCCTACCAAAAGACTGATTCAAAACTGCTCTCTCAAAAGGAAGGTTCAACTGTGTGAGTTGAATGCACACATCACAAAGCAGTTCCTCAGAATGCTTGGGTCTACTTTTTATGTGAAGATACCCGTTTCCAACGAATAACTCAAAGAGTTCCAAATATACACAGTCAGATACTGCAAAAGGAGTGTTTCATTCCTGCTCTGTCAAAAGACAGTTTCAACTCTGTTAGTTGAAGGCACACATCTCAATGAAGTTCCTGAGAAGGCTTCTGTCTAGTGTTTAAGTGACGATATTACCTTTTCCCACATAGGCAACAAAGCGCTCCAAATGAATACTTGTGGGTTCTACAAAAAGTGTGTTTCAACACTGCTCTATCAAAAGAAAGTTTCAAGTCTGTGAGTTCAATGCACACATCACAACGAACTTTCTGAGAATGCTAATGTCGATTTTTCAGGTGAAGATATCACTTTTTCCAACATACACAAAAATGTACTCGAAATGAACACTTGCAGATTCTACAAAAAGTATGTTTCAACACTGCTCTATCAAAAGAAAGGTTCAAAGATGTGAATTGAACACACACATCACAAAGGAGTTTCAGAGAATGCTTCCGTCTAGTTTTTTATTTGAAGGTATTTCCTTTTCCTTCTTCGGCCTCAAATCACTGCAAATATCCACTTGCAGATACTACAAAAAGACTGTTTCAAAACCGCTCTCTCAAAAGGAAGGTTCGACTCCGTGAGTTGAATGCACACGTTACGCAGCAGTTTCTGAGAATGCTTCTGTCTAGTTTGTATCTGAAGTTATTTCCTTTTCCATCATAGGCCTCAAATCGCTCCAAATATCCACTTGTAAATACTACAAAAAGACTGTTTCAAAAGTTCTCTCTCAAAAGGAAGGTTCAACTCTGTGAGTTGAATGCACACATCACAAGGCAGTTTCTGAAAATGCTTCTGTCCAAATTGTATGTGAAGATATTCCCTTTTCCATCATAGGCCTCAAGTCGCTCTAAATATCCAATTTCAGATACTACAAAAAGACTGTTTCAAAACTGCTCTCTCAAAGGGAAGGTTCAAGTCCGTGAGTTGAATGCACACATCACAAAGCAGTTCCTGAGAATGCTTCTTTCTAGTTCTTATGTGAATGTATCTCCTTTTCCACCATAGGCTTCAAAGCGCTCCAAATGAGAACTGGCAGATCCTCATAAAAGACGGCCTCAAAACCGCTCTATCAAAAGAAGGGTTCCACTCCAAGAGGTGAATTCACATATCACGAAGAAGTTTCTGAGAATGCTTGGGTCTACTTTTCATGTGAAGATACCCGTTTCCAACGAATTCTTCAAAGAGTTCCAAGTATCCACAAGCAGATTCTACAAAAGGAGTGCTTAAATGCTGGTCTATCTAAAGACAGATTCAACTCTGTTAGTTAAATGCACACATCTCAGTGAAGTTCCTGAGAATGCTTCTGTCTAGTTTTTATTTGAAGATATTGCTTTTTCCACCGTAGGCAACAAAGCGCTCCAAAGGAACTCTTGCGGATTCTACAAAAAGCGTGTTTCCACACTGCTCTATCAAAAGAAAGTTTCAAGTCTGTGAGTTGAATTGCACACATCCCAGTGAACTTTCGGAAAATGCATCTGTCTAGTTTGCATGTGAAGAGATTCCATTTACAACGAATTCCTCAAAGAGCTCCAATTATCCACAAGCAGAGTCTACAAAAGCAGTGTTTTGAAACTGCTCTGTCAATAGAAAGGTTCAACTCTGTAAATTGAGCACACACATCCAAAGGAGTTTCTGAGAATCCTTCTGTCTGGTTTGTATGTGAAGTCATTTCCTTTTCCATCTAAATCGCCTCAAATCGCTAAAAGATCCACTCGCAGATACTACAAAAAGACTTTCAAAACTGCTCTCTCAACAGGAAGGTTCAACTGTGTGAGTTGAATGCACACATCACAAAGCAGTTTTTGAGAACGCTTCTGTCTAGCTTTTTATGTAACGATATTTTCTTTCCACCAGAGGCAACGAAGCACACGGAACGAAATCTTGCGGATTCTACAAAAAGTGTGTCTCAACACCGCTCTATCCAAAGAAAGGTTCGAGTCCGTGAGTTGAACGCACACAACAGAAAGCAGTTTCTGAGGATGCTTTCTGTCTAGTGTTTCTATGAAGATAATTCTTTTTCTACCATAGGCAACAATACGCTGCAAAGGAACACTTGCAGATTTCACAAAAACTGTGTTTTAACACTGCTCTATCAAAACAAAGGTCCAAGTCTGTGAGTGGACTGCACACATCACAAAGCAGTTTCTGAGAATGATTCTGTCTAGTCTAGTTAGAATGTGAAGGTGTCCCGTTTACAACGAATCCCTCCGAGAGCTCTAAATATCTGGAAGCAGATTCCACAAAAGCAGTGCTTCAAACCTGCTCTGTCAAAGGAAAGGTTCAGCTCGGGGAATTGAACACAAACATCACAAAGGAGTTTCTGAGAATGCTTCTTTCCAGTTTTTATGTGAATATATCTCCTTTTCCACCGTAGGCTTCAAAGCGCTCGAAATGAGAACTCGCAGATCTTCATAAAAGACTGCCTCAAAACCGCTCTATCAAAAGAAGGGTTCCACTCCAAGAGGTGAATTCACATATCACGAAGAAGTTTCTGAGAATGCTTGGGTCTACTTTTCATGGGAAGATACCCGTTTCCAAGGAATTCTTCAAAGAGTTCCAAGTATCCACAAGCAGATTCTACAGAAGGAGTGCTTAAATGCTGGTCTATCTAAAGACAGATTCAACTCTGTTAGTTAAATTCACACATCTCAGTGAAGCTCCTGAGAATGCTTCTGTCTAGTTTTTATTTGAAGATATTACTTTTTCCACCATAGGCATCAAAGCGCTCCAAAGGAACTCTAGCAGATTCTACAAAAAGCGTGTTTCTAAACTGTTCTATCAAAAGAAAGTTTCAAGTCTGTGAGTTGAATGCACACGTCCCAGTGAACTTTCGGAGAATGCATCTGTCTAGTTTGCATGTGAAGAGATTCCATTTACAACGAATTCCTCAAAGAGCTCCAATTATCCACAAGCAGAGTCTACAAAAGCAGTGTTTTGAAACTGCTCTATCAATAGAAAGGTTCAACTCTTTTAATTGAGCACACACATCCAAAGGAGTTTCTGAGAATCCTTCTGTCTGGATTGTATGTGAAGTCATTTCCTTTTCCATCTAAACCGCCTCAAATCGCTAAAAGATCCACTTGCACATACTACCAAAAGACTTTCAAAACTGCTCTCTCAAAAGGAAGGTTCAACTGTGTGACTTGAATGCACACATCACAAAGCAGTTTTTGAGATTGCTTCTGTCTAGCTTTTTATGTAACGATATTTTCTTTCCACCAGAGGCAACAAAGCCCACGGAACGAAATCTTGCGGATACTATAAAAAGTGTGTTTCAACACCGCTCTATCCAAAGAAACTTTCGAGTCCCTGAGTTGAACGCACACAACAGAAAGCAGTTTCTGAGGATGCTTCTGTCTAGTGTTTCTATGAAGATAATTCTTTTTCTACCATAGGCAACAATACGCTGCAAATGAACACTTGCAGATTTCACCAAAACTGTGTTTTAAAACTGCTCTATCAAAAGAAAGGTCCAAGTCTGTGAGTTGACTGCACACATCACAAAGCAGTTTCTGAGAATGATTCTGTCTAGTTAGAATGAGAAGATATCCCGTGTACAACGAATTCCTCCAAGAGCTCTAGATATCTGGAAGCAGATTCTACAAAAGCAGTGCTTCAAAGCTGCTCTATCAAAGGAAAGGTTCAGCTCAGGGAATTGAACACAAACATCACAAAGGAGTTTCTGAGAATGCTTCTGTCTAGTTTGTATGTGAAGATATTTCCTTTTCCATCATAGGCCTCCAATCGCTCCAAATATCCACTTGCAGATACTACAAAAATACCGTTTCAACACTGCTCTCTCCAATGGAAGGTTCAACTCTGTGAGTTGAAAGCACACATCACAAAGCAGTTTCTGAGAATGCTTCTGCCTAGTTTTTTGTGAAGATATTCCCTTTTCCACCATAGGCTTCACAGCGCTCCAAATGAAAACTTGCAGGTCCTACAAAAAGACTGATTCAAAACTGCTCTCCCAAAAGGAAGGTTCAACTGTGTGAGTTGAATGCACACATCACAAAGCAGTTCCTGAGAATGCTTGGGTCTACTTTTTATGTGAAGATACCCGTTTCCAACGAATAACTCAAAGAGTTCCAAATATACACAGTCAGGTACTGCAAAAGGAGTGTTTCACTCCTGCTCTGTCAAAAGACAGTTTCAACTCTGTTAGTTGAATGCACACATCTCAATGAAGTTCCTGAGAAGGCTTCTGTCTAGTGTTTAGGTGACGATATTACCTTTTCCCACATAGGCAACAAAGCGCTCCAAATGAATACTTGTGGGTTCTACAAGAAGTGTGTTTCAACACTGCTCTATCAAAAGAAAGTTTCCAGTCTGTGAGTTGAATGCACACATCACAACGAACTTTCTGAGAATGCTTCTGTCTATTTTTCAGGTGAAGATATCACTTTTTCCAACATACGTAAAAAAGTACTGGAAATGAACACTTGCAGATTCTACAAAAAGTATGTTTCAACACTGCTCTATCAAAAGAAAGGTTCAACGATGTGAATTGAACACACACATCACAAAGGAGTTTCAGAGAATGCTTCCGTCTAGTTTTTTATTTGAAGGTATTTCCTTTTCCTTCTTCGGCCTCAAATCACTGCAAATATCCACTTGCAGACACTACAAAAAGACTGTTTCAAAACCGCTCTCTCAAAAGGAAGGTTCGACTCTGTGAGTTGAATGCACACGTTACGAAGCAGTTTCTGAGAATGCTTCTGTCTAGTTTGTATCTGAAGTTATTTCCTTTTCCATCATAGGCCTCAAATCGCTCCAAATATCCACTTGCAAATACTACAAAAAGACTGTTTCAAAAGTTCTCTCTCAAAAGGAAGGTTCAACTCTGTGAGTTGAATGCACACATCACAAGGCAGTTTCTGAAAATGCTTCTGTCCAATTTTTATGTGAAGATATTCCCTTTTCCATCATAGGACTCAAGTCGCTCTAAATATCCAATTTCAGATACTACAAAAAGACTGTTTCAAAACTGCTCTCTCAAAGGGAAGGTTCAAGTCCGTGAGTTGAATGCACACATCACAAAGCAGTTCCTGAGAATGCTTCTTTCTAGTTTTTATGTGAATGTATCTCCTTTTCCACCATAGGCTTCAAAGCGCTCCAAATGAGAACTGGCAGATCCTCATAAAAGACGGCCTCAAAACCGCTCTATCAAAAGAAGGGTTCCACTCCAAGAGGTGAATTCACACATCATGAAGAACTTTCTGAGAATGCTTGGGTCTACTTTTCATGGGAAGATACCCGTTTCCAACGAATTCTACAATGAGTTTCAAGTATCCACAAGCAGATTCTACAGAAGGAGTGCTTAAATGCTGGTCTATCTAAAGACAGATACAACTCTGTTAGTTAAATGCACACATCTCAGTGAAGTTCCTGAGAATGCTTCTGTCTAGTTTTTATTTGAAGATATTTCTTTTTCCACCATAGGCAACAAAGCGCTCCAAAGGAACTCTTGCGGATTCTACAAAAAGCGTGTTTCTACACTGCCCTATGAAAAGAAAGTTTCAAGTCTGTGAGTTGAATTGCACACATCCCAGTGAACTTTCGGAAAATGCATCTGTCTAGTTTGTATGTGAAGAGATTCCATTTACAACGAATTCCTCAAAGAGCTCCAAATATCCACAAGCAGATTCTACAAAAGCAGTGTTTTGAAACTGCTCTATCAATAGAAAGGTTCAACTCTGTTATTTGAACACACCCAGCCTAAGGAGTTTCTGAGAATCCTTCCGTCTGGTTTGTATGTGAAGTCATTTCCTTTTCCATCTAAATCGCCTCAAATCGCTAAAAGATCCACTCGCAGATACTACAAAAAGACTTTCAAAACTGCTCTCTCAAAAGGAAGGTTCAACTGTGTGAGTTGAATGCGCACATCACATAGCAGTTTTTGAGAACGCTTCTGTCTAGCTTTTTATGTAACGATATTTTATTTGCACCAGAGGCAACAAAGCACACGGAATGAAATCTTGCGGATTCTACAAAAAGTGTGTTTCAACACCGCTCTATCCAAAGAAAGGTTCGAGTCCGTGAGTTGAACGCACACAACAGAAAGCAGTTTCTGAGGATGCT
>NC_000005.10:46485900-46527027 GCF_000001405.40 Homo sapiens | reverse complement strand
GTAGCATTCTCAGAAACTACTTTGTGATGTGTGTGTTGAATTCACAGAGTTGAAAATTTCTTTTGATAGAGCAGTTTTTTTTATTTTTTTAGGTACTTTATGTTTTAGGGTGCATTTACTCATTTTGCAGTTTATTTACATATGTGTACATGTGCCATGCTGGTGCACTGCAGCTACTAACTCGTCATCTAGCATTAGGTATATCTCCCAATGCTATCCCTCCCCCCGATCCCCCGCCCCAGAACTGTCCCCATAGTGTGATAATCCCCTTCCTGTGTCCATGTGATCTCTCTGTCTAGTCTAGTTAGAATGTGAAGGTGTCCCGTTTACAACGAATTCCTCCGAGAGCTCTAAATATCTGGAAGCAGATTCCACAAAAGCAGTGCTTCAAACCTGCTCTGTCAAAGGAAAGGTTCAGCTCGGGGAATTGAACACAAACATCACAAAGGAGTTTCTGAGAATGCTTCTGTCTAGTTTGTATGTGAAGACATTTCCTTTTCCATCATAGGCCTCAAATCGCTCCAAATATCCACTTGCAGATACTACAAAAATACCGTTTCAACACTGCTCTCTCCAATGGAAGGTTCAACTCTGTGAGTTGAATGCACACATCACAAAGCAGTTTCTGAGAATGCTTCTGCCTAGTTTTTTGTGAAGATATTCCCTTTTCCACCATAGGCTTCACAGCGCTCCAAATGAAAACTTGCAGGTCCTACAAAAAGACTGATTCAAAACTGCTCTCCCAAAAGGAAGGTTCAACTGTGTGAGTTGAATGCACACATCACAAAGCAGTTCCTGAGAATGCTGGGTCTACTTTTTATGTGAAGATACCCGTTTCCAACGAATAACTCAAAGAGTTCCAAATATACACAGTCAGATACTGCAAAAGGAGTGTTTCATTCCTGCTCTGTCAAAAGACAGTTTCAACTATGTTAGTTGAATGCACACATCTCAGTGAAGTTCCTGAGGAGGCTTTCTGTCTAGTGTTTAGGTGACGATATTACCTTTTCCCACATAGGCAACAAAGCGCTCCAAATGAATACTTGTGGGTTCTACAAAAAGTGTGTCTCAACACTGCTCTATCAAAAGAAAGTTTCCAGTCTGTGAGTTGAATGCACACATCACAACGAACTTTCTGAGAATGCTTCTGTCTATTTTTCAGGTGAAGATATCACTTTTTCCAACATACGTAAAAAGGTACTCGAAATGAACACTTGCAGATTCTACAAAAAGTATGTTTCAACACTGCTCTATCAAAAGAAAGGTTCAACGATGTGAATTGAACACACACATCACAAAGGAGTTTCAGAGAATGCTTCCGTCCGGTTGTTTCTTTGAAGGTATTTCCTTTTCCTTCTTCGGCCTCAAATCACTGCAAATATCCACTTGCAGATACTACAGAAAGACTGTTTCAAAACCGCTCTCTCAAAAGGAAGGTTCGACTCTGTGAGTTGAATGCACACGTTACGAAGCAGTTTCTGAGAATGCTTCTGTCTAGTTTGTATCTGAAGTTATTTCCTTTTCCATCATAGGCCTCAAATCGCTCCATATATCCACTTGCAAATACTACAAAAAGACTGTTTCAAAAGTTCTCTCTCAAAAGGAAGGTTCAACCCTGTGATTTGAGTGCACACATCACAAGTCAGTTTCTGAAAATGCTTCCGTCCAGTTTTTATGTGAGGATATTCCCTTTTCCATCATAGGACTCAAGTCGCTCTAAATATCCAATTTCAGATACTACAAAAAGACTGTTTCAAAACTGCTCTCTCAAAGGGAAGGTTCAAGTCCGTGAGTTGAATGCACACATCACAAAGCAGTTCCTGAGAATGCTTCTTTCTAGTTTTTATGTGAATGTATCTCCTTTTCCACCATAGGCTTCAAAGCGCTCCAAATGAGAACTGGCAGATCCTCATAAAAGACGGCCTCGAGACCGCACTATCAAAAGAAGGGTTGCACTCCAAGAGGTGAATTCACTTATCACGAAGAAGTTTCTGAGAATGCTTGGGTCTACTTTTCATGAGAAGATACCCGTTTCCAACGACTTCTTCAAAGAGTTCCAAGTATCCACAAGCAGATTCTACAAAAGGAGTGCTTAAATGCTGGTCTATCTAAAGACAGATTCAACTCTGTTAGTTAAATGCACACATCTCAGTGAAGTTCCTGAGAATGCTTCTGTCTGGTTTTTATTTGAAGATATTTCTTTTTCCACCATAGGCAACAAAGCGCTCCAAAGGAACTCTTGCGGATTCTACAAAAAGCGTGTTTCTACACTGCCCTATGAAAAGAAAGTTTCAAGTCTGTGAGTTGAATTGCACACATCCCAGTGAACTTTCGGAAAATGCATCTGTCTAGTTTGTATGTGAAGAGATTCCATTTACAACGAATTCCTCAAAGAGCTCCAAATATCCACAAGCAGATTCTACAAAAGCAGTGTTTTGAAACTGCTCTATCAATAGAAAGGTTCAACTCTGTTAATTGAACACACACATCCTAAGGAGTTTCTGAGAATCCTTCTGTCTGGTTTGTATGTGAAGTCATTTCCTTTTCCATCTAAATTGCCTCAAATCGCTAAAAGATCCACTTGCAGATACTACAAAAAGACTGTTTGATAACTGCTCTCTCAAAAGGAAGGTTCAACTGTGTGACTTGAATGCACACATCACAAAGCAGTTTTTGAGAATGCTTCTGTCTAGCTTTTTATGTAACGATATTTTCTTTGCACCAGAGGCAACAAAGCACACGGAATGAAATCTTGCGGATTCTACAAAAAGTGTGTTTCAACACTGCTCTATCCAAAGAAAGGTTCGAGTCCGTGAGTTGAACGCACACAACAGAAAGCAGTTTCTGAGGATGCTTCTGTCTAGTGTTTCTATGAAGATAATTCTTTTTCTACCATAGGCAACAATACGCTGCAAATGAACACTTGCAGATTTCACAAAAACTGTGTTTTAACACTGCTCTATCAAAACAAAGGTCCAAGCCTGTGAGTTGACTGCACACATCACAAAGCAGTTTCTGAGAATGATTCTGTCTAGTCTAGTTAGAATGTGAAGATATCCCGTTTACAACGAATTCCTCCGAGAGCTCTAAATATCTGGAAGCAGATTCTACAAAAGCAGTGCTTCAAACCTGCTCTATCAAAGGAAAGGTTCAGCTCGGGGAATTGAACACAAACATCGCAAAGGAGTTTCTGAGAATGCTTCTGTCTAGTTTGTATGTGAAGATATTTCCTTTTCCATCATAGGCCTCAAATCGCTCCAAATATCCACTTGCAGATACTCCAAAAATACCGTTTCAACACTGCTCTCTCCAATGGAAGGTTCAACTCTGTGAGTTGAATGCACACATCACAAAGCAGTTTCTGAGAATGCTTCTGCCTAGTTTTTTGTGAAGATATTCCCTTTTCAACCATGGGCTTCACAGCGCTCCAAATGAAAACTTGCAGGTCCTACAAAAAGACTGATTCAAAACTGCTCTCTCAAAAGGAAGGTTCAACTGTGTGAGTTGAATGCACACATCACAAAGCAGTTCCTGAGAATGCTTGGGTCTACTTTTTATGTGAAGATACCCGTTTCCAACGAATAACTCAAAGAGTTCCAAATATACACAGTCAGATACTGCAAAAGGAGTGTTTCATTCCTGCTCTGTCAAAAGACAGTTTCAACTATGTTAGTTGAATGCACACATCTCAGTGAAGTTCCTGAGGAGGCTTCTGTCTAGTGTTTAAGTGACGACATTACCTTTTCCCACATAGGCAACAAAGCGCTCCAAATGAATACCTGGGGGTTCTACAACAAGTGTGTTTCAACACTGCTCTATCAAAAGAAAGTTTCAAGTCTGTGAGTTGAATGCACACATCACAACGAACTTTCTGAGAATGCTTCTGTCTATTTTTCAGGTGAAGATATCACTTTTTCCAACATACGTAAAAAAGTACTGGAAATGAACACTTGCAGATTCTACAAAAAGTATGTTTCAACACTGCTCTATCAAAAGAAAGGTTCAACGATGTGAATTGAACACACACATCACAAAGGAGTTTCAGAGAATGCTTCCGTCCGGTTGTTTCTTTGAAGGTATTTCCTTTTCCTTCTTCGGCCTCAAATCACTGCAAATATCCACTTGCAGATACTACAGAAAGACTGTTTCAAAACCGCTCTCTCAGAAGGAAGGTTCGAATCTTTGAGTTGAATGCACACGTTACGAAGCAGTTTCTGAGAATGCTTCTGTCTAGTTTGTATCTGAAGTTATTTCCTTTTCCATCATAGGCCTCAAATCGCTCCAAATATCCACTTGCAAATACTACAAAAAGACTGTTTCAAAAGTTCTCTCTCAAAAGGAAGGTTCAACTCTGTGAGATGAGTGCACACATCACAAGGCAGTTTCTGAAAATGCTTCTGTCCAATTTTTATGTGAAGATATTCCCTTTTCCATCATAGGACTCAAGTCGCTCTAAATATCCAATTTCAGATACTACAAAAAGACTGTTTCAAAACTGCTCTCTCAAAGGGAAGGTTCAAGTCCGTGAGTTGAATGCACACATCACAAAGCAGTTCCTGAGAATGCTTCTTTCTAGTTTTTATGTGAATGTATCTCCTTTTCCACCATAGGCTTCAAAGCGCTCCAAATGAGAACTGGCAGATCCTCATAAAAGACGGCCTCAAAACCGCTCTATCAAAAGAAGGGTTCCACTCCAAGAGGTGAATTCACACATCATGAAGAACTTTCTGAGAATGCTTGGGTCTACTTTTCATGGGAAGATACCCGTTTCCAACGAATTCTACAATGAGTTCCAAGTATCCACAAGCAGATTCTACAGAAGGAGTGCTTAAATGCTGGTCTATCTAAAGACAGATACAACTCTGTTAGTTAAATGCACACATCTCAGTGAAGTTCCTGAGAATGCTTCTGTCTAGCTTTTATTTCAAGATATTTCTTTTTCCACCATAGGCAACAAAGTGCTCCAAAGGAACTCTTGCAGGTTGTACAAAAAGCGTGTTTCTACACTGCTCTATCAAAAGAAAGTTTCAAGTCTGTGAGTTGAATGCACACATCCCAGTGAACTTTCGGAGAATGCATCTTTCTAGTTTGTATGTGAAGAGATTCCATTTACAATGAATTCCTCAAAGAGCTCCAAATATCCACAAGCAGATTCTACAAAAGCAGTGTTTTGAAACTGCTCTATCAATAGAAAGGTTCAACTCTGTTAATTGAACACACACATCCTAAGGAGTTTCTGAGAAACCTTCTGTCTGGTTTGTATGTGAAGTCATTTCCTTTTCCATCTAAATAGCCTCAAATGGCTAAAAGATCCACTTGCAGATACTACAAAAAGATTTTCAAAACTGCTCTCTCAAAAGGAAGGTTCAACTGTGTGAGTTGAATGCACACATCACATAGCAGTTTTTGAGAACGCTTCTGTCTAGCTTTTTATGTAACGATATTTTCTTTGCACCAGGGGCAACAAAGCACACGGAATGAAATCTTGCGGATTCTACAAAAAGTGTGTTTAAACACTGCTCTATCCAAAGAAAGGTTCGAGTCCGTGAGTTGAACGCACACAACAGAAAGCAGTTTCTGAGGATGCTTCTGTCTAGTGTTTCTATGAAGATAATTCTTTTTCTACCATAGGCAACAACACGCTGCAAATGAACACTTGCAGATTTCACAGAAACTGTGTTTTAACACTGCTCTATCAAAACAAAGGTCCAAGTCTGTGAGTTGACTGCACACATCACAAAGCAGTTTCGGAGAATGATTCTGTCTAGTCTAGTTAGAATGTGAAGATATCCCGTTTACAACGAATTCCTCCGAGAGCTCTAAATATCTGGAAGCAGATTCTACAAAAGCAGTGCTTCAAACCTGCTCTATCAAAGGAAAGGTTCAGCTCGGGGAATTGAACACAAACATCACAAAGGAGTTTCTGAGAATGCTTCTGTCTAGTTTGTATGTGAAGATATTTCCTTTTCCATCATAGGCCTCAAATCGCTCCAAATATCCACTTGCAGATACTACAAAAATAACGTTTCAACACTGCTCTCTCCAATGGAAGGTTCAACTCTGTGAGTTGAATGCACACATCACAAAGCAGTTTCTGAGAATGCTTCTGCCTAGTTTTTTGTGAAGATATTCCCTTTTCCACCATGGGCTTCACAGCGCTCCAAATGAAAACTTGCAGGTCCTACAAAAAGACTGATTCAAAACTGCTCTCTCAAAAGGAAGGTTCAACTGTGTGAGTTGAATGCACACATCACAAAGCAGTTCCTCAGAATGCTTGGGTCTACTTTTTATGTGAAGATACCCGTTTCCAACGAATAACTCAAAGAGTTCCAAATATACACAGTCAGATACT
The DNA here is from genome assembly GCF_000001405.40 of Homo sapiens. Lineage (NCBI taxonomy): Eukaryota > Metazoa > Chordata > Mammalia > Primates > Hominidae > Homo > Homo sapiens. The sequence goes on along the minus strand of NC_000005.10, from coordinate 46,520,675 downwards.
GCAAAAGGAGTGTTTCATTCCTGCTCTGTCAAAAGACAGTTTCAACTCTGTTAGTTGAATGCACACATCTCAGTGAAGTTCCTGAGGAGGCTTCTGTCTAGTGTTTAAGTGACGATATTACCTTTTACCACATAGGCAACAAAGCGCTCCAAATGAATACTTGGGGGTTCTACAAAAAGTGTGTTTCAACACTGCTCTATCAAAGGAAAGTTTCAAGTCTGTGAGTTGAATGCACACATCACAACGAACTTTCTGAGAATGCTTCTGTCTATTTTTCAGGTGAAGATATCACTTTTTCCAACATACGTAAAAAAGTACTGGAAATGAACACTTGCAGATTCTACAAAAAGTATGTTTCAACACTGCTCTATCAAAAGAAAGGTTCAACGATGTGAATTGAACACACACATCACAAAGGAGTTTCAGAGAATGCTTCCGTCTAGTTTTTTATTTGAAGGTATTTCCTTTTCCTTCTTCAGCCTCAAATCACTGCAAATATCCACTTGCAGATACTACAAAAAGACTGTTTCAAAACCGCTCTCTCAAAAGGAAGGTTCGACTCTGTGAGTTGAACGCACACGTTACGAAGCAGTTTCTGAGAATGCTTCTGTCTAGTTTGTATCTGAAGTTATTTCCTTTTCCATCATAGGCCTCAAATCGCTCCACATATCCACTTGCAAATACTACAAAAAGACTGTTTCAAAAGTTCTCTCTCAAAAGGAAGGTTCAACTCTGTGAGTTGAATGCACACATCACAAGGCAGTTTCTGAAAACGCTTCTGTCCAATTTTTATGTGAAGATATTCCCTTTTCCATCATAGGACTCAAGTCGCTCTAAATATCCAATTTCAGATACTACAAAAAGACTGTTTCAAAACTGCTCTCTCAAAGGGAAAGTTCAAGTCCGTGAGTTGAATGCACACATCACAAAGCAGTTCCTGAGAATGCTTCTTTCTAGTTCTTATGTGAATGTATCTACTTTTCCACCATAGGCTTCACAGCGCTCCAAATGAGAACTGGCAGATCCTCATAAAAGACGGCCTCAAAACCGCTCTATCAAAACAAGGGTTCCACTCCAAGAGGTGAATTCACATATCACGAAGAAGTTTCTGAGAATGCTTGGGTCTACTTTTCATGTGAAGATGCCCGTTTCCAACGAATTCTTCAAAGAGTTCCAAGTATCCACAAGCAGATTCTACAAAAGGAGTGCTTAAATGCTGGTCTATCTAAAGACAGATTCAACTCTGTTAGTTAAATGCACACATCTCAGTGAAGTTCCTGAGAATGCTTCTGTCTAGTTTTTATTTGAAGATATTGCTTTTTCCACCGTAGGCAACAAAGCGCTCCAAAGGAACTCTTGCGGATTCTACAAAAAGCTTGTTTCCACACTGCTCTATCAAAAGAAAGTTTCAAGTCTGTGAGTTGAATTGCACACATCCCAGTGAACTTTCGGAAAATGCATCTGTCTAGTTTGCATGTGAAGAGATTCCATTTACAACGAATTCCTCAAAGAGCTCCAATTATCCACAAGCAGAGTCTACAAAAGCAGTGTTTTGAAACTGCTCTATCAATAGAAAGGTTCAACTCTGTTAATTGAGCACACACATCCAAAGGAGTTTCTGAGAATCCTTCTGTCTCGTTTGTATGTGAAGTCATTTCCTTTTCCATCTAAATCGCCTCAAATCGCTAAAAGATCCACTCGCAGATACTACAAAAAGACTTTCAAAACTGCTCTCTCAAAAGGAAGGTTCAACTGTGTGAGTTGAATGCGCACATCACATAGCAGTTTTTGAGAACGCTTCTGTCTAGCTTTTTATGTAACGATATTTTCTTTCCACCATAGGCAACAAAGCACACGGAATGAAATCTTGCGGATTCTACAAAAAGTGTGTTTCAACACTGCTCTATCCAAAGAAAGGTTCGAGTCCGTGAGTTGAACGCACACAACAGAAAGCAGTTTCTGAGGATGCTTCTGTCTAGTGTTTCTATGAAGATAATTCTTTTTCTACCATAGGCAACAATACGCTGCAAATGAACACTTGCAGATTTCACCAAAACTGTGTTTTAACACTGCTCTATCAAAACAAAGGTCCAAGTCTGTGAGTTGACTGCACACATCACAAAGCAGTTTCTGAGAATGATTCTGTCTAGTCTAGTTAGAATGTGAAGATATCCCGTTTACAACGAATTCCTCCGAGAGCTCTAAATATCTGGAAGCAGATTCTACAAAAGCAGTGCTTCAAACCTGCTCTATCAAAGGAAAGGTTCAGCTCGGGGAATTGAACACAAGCATCACAAAGGAGTTTCTGAGAATGCTTCTGTCTAGTTTGTATGTGAAGATATTTCCTTTTCCACCATAGGCCTCCAATCGCTCCAAATATCCACTTGCAGATACTACAAAAATACCGTTTCAACACTGCTCTCTCCAATGGAAGGTTCAACTCTGTGAGTTGAATGCACACATCACAAAGCAGTTTCTGAGAATGCTTCTGCCTAGTTTTTTGTGAAGATATTCCCTTTTCCACCATGGGCTTCACAGTGCTCCAAATGAAAAATTCCAGGTCCTACCAAAAGACTGATTCAAAACTGCTCTATCAAAAGGAAGGTTCAACTGTGTGAGTTGAATGCACACATCACAAAGCAGTTCCTGAGAATGCTTGGGTCTACTTCTTATGTGAAGATACCCGTTTCCAACGAATAACTCAAAGAGTTCCAAATATACACAGTCAGATACTGCAAAAGGAGTGTTTCACTCCTGCTCTGTCAAAAGACAGTTTCAACTCTGTTAGTTGAATGCACACATCTCAGTGAAGTTCCTGAGAAGGCTTCTGTGTAGTGTTTAAGTGACGATATTACCTTTTCCCACATAGGCAACAAAGCACTCCAAATGAATACTTGTGGGTTCTACAAAAAGTGTGTTTCAACACTACTCTATCAAAAGAAAGTTTCCAGTCTGTGAGTTGAATGCACACATCACAACGAACTTTCTGAGAATGCTTCTGTCTATTTTTCAGGTGAAGATATCACTTTTTCCAACATACGTAAAAAATTACTCGAAATGAACACTTGTAGATTCTACAAAAAGTATGTTTCAACACTGCTCTATCAAAAGAAAGGTTCAATGATGTGAATTGGACACACACATCACAAAGGAGTTTCAGAGAATGCTTCCGTCTAGTTTTTTATTTGAAGGTATTTCCTTTTCCTTCTTCGGCCTCAAATCACTGCAAATATCCACTTGCAGATACTACAAAAAGACTGTTTCAAAACCGCTCTCTCAAAAGGAAGGTTCGACTCTGTGAGTTGAATGCACACGTTACGAAGCAGTTTATGAGAATGCTTCTGTCTAGTTTGTATCTGAAGTTATTTCCTTTTCCATCATAGGCCTCAAATCGCTCCAAATATCCACTTGCAAATACTACAAAAAGACTGTTTCAAAAGTTCTCTCTCAAAAGGAAGGTTCAACTCCTGTGAGTTGAATGCACACATCACAAGGCAGTTTCTGAAAATGCTTCTGTCCAATTTGTATGTGAAGATATTCCCTTTTCCATCATAGGACTCAAGTCGCTCTAAATATCCAATTTCAGATACTACAAAAAGACTGTTTCAAAACTGCTCTCTCAAAGGGAAGGTTCAAGTCCGTGAGTTGAATGCACACATCACAAAGCAGTTCCTGAGAATGCTTCTTTCTAGTTTTTATGTGAATATGTCTCCTTTTCCACCATAGGCTTCAAAGCGCTCCAAATGAGAACTGGCAGATCCTCTTAAAAGACGGCCTTTAAACCGCTCTATCAAAAGAATGGTTCCACTCCAAGAGGTGAATTCACATATCACGAAGAAGTTTCTGAGAATGCTTGGGTCTACTTTTCATGTGAAGATACCCGTTTCCAACGAATTCTTCAAAGAGTTCCAAGTATCCACAAGCAGATTCTACAAAAGGAGTGCTTAAATGCTGGTCTATCTAAAGACAGATTCAACTCTGTTAGTTAAATGCACACATCTCAGTGAAGTTCCTGAGAATGCTTCTGTCTAGTTTTTATTTGAAGATATTTCTTTTTCCACCATAGGCAACAGAGCGCTCCAAAGGAACTCTTGCGGATTCTACAAAAAGCGTGTTTCTACACTGCTCTATCAAAAGAAAGTTTCAAGTCTGTGAGTTGAATTGCACACATCCCAGTGAACTTTCGGAAAATGCATCTGTCTAGTTTGTATGTGAAGAGATTCCATTTACAACGAATTCCTCAGAGAGCTCCAAATATCCACAAGTAGATTCTACAAAAGCAGTGTTTTGAAACTGCTCTATCAATAGAAAGGTTCAACTCTGTTAATTGATCACACACATCCTAAGGAGTTTCTGAGAATCCTTCTGTCTGGTTTGTATGTTAAGTCATTTCCTTTTCCATCTAAATCGCCTCAAATCGCTAAAAGTTCCACTCGCAGGTACTACAAAAGGACTTTCAAAACTGCTCTCTCAAAAGGAAGGTTCAACTGTGTGAGTTGAATGCACACATCACATAGCAGTTTTTGAGAATGCTTCTGTCTAGCTTTTTATGTAACGATATTTTCTTTGCACCAGAGGCAACAAAGCACACGGAATGAGATCTTGCGGATTCTACAAAAATTGTGTTTCAACACTGCTCTATCCAAAGAAAGGTTCGAGTCCGTGAGTTGAACTCACACAACAGAAAGCAGCTTCTGAGGATGCTTCTGTCTAGTGTTTCTATGAAGATAATTCTTTTTCTACCATAGGCAACAATACGCTGCAAATGAACACTTGCAGATTTCACAAAAACTGTGTTTTAACACTGCTCTATCAAAACAAAGGTCCAAGTCTGTGAGTTGACTGCACGCGTCACAAAGCAGTTTCGGAGAATGATTCTGTCTAGTCTAGTTAGAATGTGAAGATATCCCGTTTACAACAAATTCCTCCGAGAGCTCTAAATATCTGGAAGCAGATTCTACAAAAGCAATGCTTCAAACCTGCTCTGTCAAAGGAAAGGTTCAGCTCGGGGAATTGAACACAAACATCAGAAAGGAGTTTCTGAGAATGCTTCTGTCTAGTTTGTATGTGAAGATATTTCCTTTTCCATCATAGGCCTCAAATCGCTCCAAATATCCACTTGCAGATACTACAAAAATACCGTTTCAACACTGCTCTCTCCAATGGAAGGTTCAACTCTGTGAGTTGAATGCACATATCACAAAGCAGTTTCTGAGAATGCTTCTGCCTAGTTTTTTGTGAAGATATTCCCGTTTCCACCATAGGCTTCACAGCACTCCAAATGAAAACTTGCAGGTCCTACAAAAAGACTGATTCAAAACTGCTCTCCCAAAAGGAAGGTTCAACTGTGTGAGTTGAATGCACACATCACAAAGCAGTTCCTGAGAATGCTTGGGTCTACTTTTTATGTGAAGATACCCATTTCCAACGAATAACTCAAAGAGTTCCAAATATACACAGTCAGATACTGCAAAAGGAGTGTTTCATTCCTGCTCTGTCAAAAGACAGTTTCAACTATGTTACTTGAATGCACACATCTCAATGAAGTTCCTGAGGAGGCTTCTGTCTAGTGTTTAGGTGACGGTATTTCCCACATAGGCAACAAAGCGCTCCAAATGAATACTTGTGGGTTCTACAAAAAGTGTGTCTCAACACTGCTCTATCAAAAGAAAGTTTCCAGTCTGTGAGTTGAATGCACACATCACAACGAACTTTCTGAGAATGCTTCTGTCTATTTTTCAGGTGAAGATATCACTTTTTCCAACATACGTAAAAAAGTACTGGAAATGAACACTTGCAGATTCTACAAAAAGTATGTTTCAACACTGCTCTATCAAAAGAAAGGTTCAACGATGTGAATTGAACACACACATCACAAAGGAGTTTCAGAGAATGCTTCCGTCTAGTTTTTTATTTGAAGGTATTTCCTTTTCCTTCTTCGGCCTCAAATCACTGCAAATATCCACTTGCAGACACTACAAAAAGACTGTTTCAAAACCGCTCTCTCAAAAGGAAGGTTCGACTCTGTGAGTTGAATGCACACGTTACGAAGCAGTTTCTGAGAATGCTTCTGTCTAATTTGTATCTCAAGTTATTTCCTTTTCCATCATAGGCCTCAAATCGCTCCAAATATCCACTTGCAAATACTACAAAAAGACTGTTTCGAAAGTTCTCTCTCAAAAGGAAGGTTCAACTCTGTGAGTTGAATGCACACATCACAAGGCAGTTTCTGAAAATGCTTCTGTCCAATTTTTATGTGAAGATATTCCCTTTTCCATCATAGGACTCAAGTCGCTCTAAATATCCAATTTCAGATACTACAAAAAGACTGTTTCAAAACTGCTCTCTCAAAAGGAAAGTTCAAGTCCGTGAGTTGAATGCACACATCACAAAGCAGTTCCTGAGAATGCTTCTTTCTAGTTCTTATGTGAATGTATCTACTTTTCCACCATAGGCTTCACAGCGCTCCAAATGAGAACTGGCAGATCCTCATAAAAGACGGCCTCAAAACCGCTCTATCAAAACAAGGGTTCCACTCCAAGAGGTGAATTCACATATCACGAAGAAGTTTCTGAGAATGCTTGGGTCTACTTTTCATGTGAAGATAACCGTTTCCAACGAATTCTTCCAAGAGTTCCAAATATCCACCTGCAGATACTACAAAAGGAGTGTTTAAATGCTGGTCTATCTAAAGACAGATTCAACTCTCTTAGTTAAATGCACACATCTCAGTGAAGTTCCTGAGAATGCTTCTGTCTACTTTTTATTTGAAGATACTTCTTTTTCCACCATAGGCAACAAAGCGCTCCAAATGAATTCTTGCGGATTCTACAAAAAGCGTGTTTCTACACTGTTCTATAAAAAGAAAGTTTCAGGTAAGTGAGTTGAATGCACACATCCCAGTGAACTTTCGGAGAATGCATCTGTCTAGTTTGCATGTGAAGAGATTCCATTTACAACGAATTCCTCAAAGAGCTCCAAATATCCACAAGCAGAGTCTACAAAAGCAGTGTTTTGAAACTGCTCTATCAATAGAAAGGTTCAACTCTGTAAATTGAACACACACACATCCAAAGGAGTTTCTGAGAATCCTTCTGTCTGGTTTGTATGTGAAGTCATTTCCTTTTCCATCTAAATCGCCTCAAATCGCTAAAAGATCCACTCGCAGATACTACAAAAAGACTTTCAAAACTGCTCTCTCAAGAGGAAGGTTCAACTGTGTGAGTTGAATGCACACATCACAAAGCAGTTTTTGAGAACGCTTCTGTCTAGCTTTTTATGTAACGATATTTTCTTTGCACCAGAGGCAACAAAGCACACGGAATGAAATCGTGCGGATTCTACAAAAAGTGTGTTTCAACACCGCTCTATCCAAAGAAAGGTTCGAGTCCGTGAGTTGAACGCACACAACAGAAAGCAGTTTCTGAGGATGCTTCTGTCTAGTGTTTCTATGAAGATAATTCTTTTTCTACCATAGGCAACAATACGCTGCAAATGAACACTTGCAGATTTCACAAAACCTGTGTTTTAACACTGCTCTATCAAAACAAAGGTCCAAGACTGTGAGTTGACTTCACACATCACAAAGCAGTTTCTGAGAATGATTCTGTCTAGTCTAGTTAGAATGTGAAGATATCCCGTTTACAAAGAATTCCTCCGAGAGCTCTAAATATCTGGAAGCAGATTCTACAAAAGCAGTGCTTCAAACCTGCTCTATCAAAGGAAAGGTTCAGCTCCGGGAATTGAACACAAGCATCACAAAGGAGTTTCTGAGAATGCTTCTGTCTAGTTTGTATGTGAAGATATTTCCTTTTCCATCATAGGCCTCAAATCGCTCCAAATATCCACTTGCAGATACTACAAAAATACCGTTTCAACACTGCTCTCTCCAATGGAAGGTTCAACTCTGTGAGTTGAATGCACACATCACAAAGCAGTTTCTGAGAATGCTTCTGCCTAGTTTTTTGTGAAGATATTCCCTTTTCAACCATGGGCTTCACAGCGCTCCAAATGAAAACTTGCAGGTCCTACAAAAAGACTGATTCAAAACTGCTCTCTCAAAAGGAAGGTTCAACTGTGTGAGTTGAATGCACACATCACAAAGCAGTTCCTGAGAATGCTTGGGTCTACTTTTTATGTGAAGATACCCGTTTCCAACGAATAACTCAAAGAGTTCCAAATATACACAGTCAGATACTGCAAAAGGAGTGTTTCACTCCTGCTCTGTCAAAAGACAGTTTCAACTCTGTTAGTTGAAGGCACACATCTCAGTGAAGTTCCTGAGAAGGCTTCTGTCTAGTGTTTAAGTGACGATATTACCTTTTCCCACATAGGCAACAAAGCGCTCCAAATGAATACTTCTGGGTTCTACAAAAAGTGTGTTTCAACACTGCTCTATCAAAAGAAAGTTTCAAGTCTGTGAGTTGAATGCACACATCACAACGAACTTTCTGAGAATGCTTCTGTCTATTTTTCAGGTGAAGATATCACTTTTTCCAACATACGTAAAAAAGTACTGGAAATGAACACTTGCAGATTCTACAAAAAGTATGTTTCAACACTGCTCTATCAAAAGAAAGGTTCAACGATGTGAATTGAACACACACATCACAAAGGAGTTTCAGAGAATGCTTCCGTCTAGTTTTTTATTTGAAGGTATTTCCTTTTCCTTCTTTGGCCTCAAATCACTGCAAATATCCACTTGCAGACACTACAAAAAGACTGTTTCAAAACCGCTCTCTCAAAAGGAAGGTTCGACTCTGTGAGTTGAATGCACACGTTACGAAGCAGTTTCTGAGAATGCTTCTGTCTAATTTGTATCTCAAGTTATTTCCTTTTCCATCATAGGCCTCAAATCGCTCCAAATATCCACTTGCAAATACTACAAAAAGACTGTTTCGAAAGTTCTCTCTCAAAAGGAAGGTTCAACTCTGTGAGTTGAATGCACACATCACAAGGCAGTTTCTGAAAATGCTTCTGTCCAATTTTTATGTGAAGATATTCCCTTTTCCATCATAGGACTCAAGTCGCTCTAAATATCCAATTTCAGATACTCCAAAAAGACTGTTTCAAAACTGCTCTCTCAAAGGGAAGGTTCAAGTCCGTGAGTTGAATGCACACATCACAAAGCAGTTCCTGAGAATGCTTCTTTCTAGTTCTTATGTGAATGTATCTCCTTTTCCACCATAGGCTTCACAGCGCTCCAAATGAGAACTGGCAGATCCTCATAAAAGACGGCCTCAAAACCGCTCTATCAAAAGAAGGGTTCCACTCCAAGAGGTGAATTCACATATCACGGAGAAGTTTCTGAGAATGCTTGGGTCTACTTTTCATGTGAAGATACCCGTTTCCAACGAATTCTTCAAAGAGTTCCAAGTATCCACAAGCAGATTCTGCAAAAGGAGTGCTTAAATGCTGGTCTATCTAAAGACAGATTCAACTCTTGTTAGTTAAATGCACACATCTCAGTGAAGTTCCTGAGAATGCTTCTGTCTAGTTTTCATTTGAAGATATTTCTTTTTCCACCATAGGCAACAAAGCGCTCCAAAGGAACTCTTGCGGATTCTACAAAAAGCGTGTTTCTACACTGTTCTATCAAAGGAAAGTTTCAAGTCTGTGAGTTGAATGCACACATCCCAGTGAACTTTCGGAGAGTGCTTCTGTCTAGTTTGTATGTGAAGAGATTCCATTTACAACGAATTCCTCAAAGAGCTCCAAATATCCACAAGCAGATTCTACCAAAGCAGTGTTTTAAAACTGCTCTATCAATAGAAAGGTTCAACTCTGTTCATTGAACACACACATTCAAAGGAGTTTCTGAGAATCCTTCTGTCTGGTTTGTATGTGAAGTCATTTCCTTTTCCATCTAAATCGCCTCAAATCGCTAAAAGATCCACTCGCAGATACTACAAAAAGACTTTCAAAACTGCTCTCTCAAAAGGAAGGTTCAATTGTGTGAATTGAATGCACACATCACATAGCAGTTTTTGAGAATGCTTCTGTCTAGCTTTTTATGTAACGATATTTTCTTTCCACCATAGGCAACAAAGCACACGGAATGAAAACTTGCAGAATCTCCAAAAAGCGTGTTTCAACACTGCTCTATCCAAAGAAAGGTTCGAGTCCGTGAGTTGAACGCACACAACAGAAAGCAGTTTCTGAGGATGCTTCTGTCTAGTGTTTCTATGAAGATAATTCTTTTTCTACCATAGGCAACAATACGCTGCAAATGAACACTTGCAGATTTCACAAAAACTGTGTTTTAACACTGCTCTATCAAAACAAAGGTCCAAGTCTGTGAGTGGACTGCACACATCACAAAGCTAGTTTCTGAGAATGATTCTGTCTAGTCTAGTTAGAATGTGAAGATGTCCCGTTTACAACGAATTCCTCCGAGAGCTCTAAATATCTGGAAGCAGATTCCACAAAAGCAGTGCTTCAAACCTGCTCTATCAAAGGAAAGGTTCAGCTCGGGGAATTGAACACAAACATCACAAAGGAGTTTCTGAGAATGCTTCCGTTTAGTTTGTATGTGAAGATATTTCCTTTTCCATCATAGTACTCGAATCGCTCCAAATATCCACTTGCAGACATTACAAAAAGACTGTTTCAAAACTGCTCTCTCAAAAGGAAGGTTCAACTCTGTGAGTTGAGTGCACACATCACAATGGAGTCTGTGAGAATACTTCTGCCTAGTTTTTTGTGAAGATATTCCCTTTTCCACCATAGGCTTCACAGTGCCCCAAATGAAAACTTGCAGGTCCTACCAAAAGACTGATTCCAAACTGCTCTCTCAAAAGGAAGGTTCAACTGTGTGAGTTGAATGCACACATCACAAAGCAGTTCCTGAGAATGCTTGGGTCTACTTTTTATGTGAAGATACCCGTTTCCAACGAATAACTCAAAGAGTTCCAAATATACACAGTCAGATACTGCAAAAGGAGTGTTTCACTCCTGCTCTGTCAAAAGACAGTTTCAACTGTGTTAGTTGAATGCACACATCTCAGTGAAGTTCCTGAGAAGGCTTCTGTCTAGTGTTTAAGTGACGATATTACCTTTTCCCACATAGGCAACAAAGCGCTCCAAATGAATACTTGTGGGTTCTACAACAAGTGTGTTTCAACACTGCTCTATCAAAAGAAAGTTTCAAGTCTGTGAGTTGAATGCACACATCACAACGAACTTTCTGAGAATGCTTCTCTCTATTTTTCAGGTGAAGATATCACTTTTTCCAACATACGTAAAAAAGTACTCGAAATGAACACTTGCAGATTCTAGAAAAAGGATGTTTCAACACTGCTCTATCAAAAGAAAGGTTCAACGATGTGAATTGAACACACACATCACAAAGGAGTTTCAGAGAATGCTTCCGTCTAGTTTTTTATTTGAAGGTATTTCCTTTTCCTTCTTCGGCCTCAAATCACTGCAAATATCCACTTGCAGATACTACAAAAAGACTGTTTCAAAACCGCTCTCTCAAAAGGAAGGTTCGACTCTGTGAGTTGAATGCACACGTTACGAAGCAGTTTCTGAGAATGCTTCTGTCTAGTTTGTATCTGAAGTTATTTCCTTTTCCATCACAGGCCTCAAATCGCTCCAAATATCCACTTGCAAATACTACAAAAAGACTGTTTCAAATGTTCTCTCTCAAAAGGAAGGTTCAACTCTGTGAGTTGAATGCACACATCACAAGGCAGTTTCTGAAAATGCTTCTGTCCAATTTGTATGTGAAGATATTCCCTTTTCCATCATAGGACTCAAGTCGCTCTAAATATCCAATTTCAGATACTACAAAAAGACTGTTTCAAAACTGCTCTCTCAAAGGGAAGGTTCAAGTCCCGTGAGTTGAATGCACACATCACAAAGCAGTTCCTGAGAATGCTTCTTTCTAGTTTTTATGTGAATGTATCTCCTTTTCCACCATAGGCTTCAAAGCGCTCCAAATGAGAACTGGCAGATCCTCATAAAAGACGGCCTCAAAACCACTCTATCAAAAGAAGGGTTCCACTCCAAGAGGTGAATTCACATATCACGAAGAAGTTTCTGAGAATGCTTGGGTCTACTTTACATGGGAAGATACCCGTTTCCAACGAATTCTTCAAAGAGTTCCAAGTATCCACAAGCAGATTCTACAGAAGGAGTGCTTAAATGCTGGTCTATCTAAAGACAGATTCAACTCTGTTAGTTAAATGCACACATCTCAGTGAAGTTCCTGAGAATGCTTCTGTCTAGTTTTTATTTGAAGATATTTCTTTTTCCACCATAGGCAACAAAGGTCTCCAAAGGAACTCTTGCGGATTCTACAAAAAGCGTGTTTCTACACTGCTCTATCAAAAGAAAGTTTCAAGTCTGTGAGTTGAATTGCACACATCCCAGTGAACTTTCGGAAAATGCATCTGTCTAGTTTGTATGTGAAGAGATTCCATTTACAACGAATTCCTCAGAGAGCTCCAAATATCCACAAGCAGATACTACAAAAGCAGTGTTTTGAAACTGCTCTATCAATAGAAAGGTTCAACTCTGTTATTTGAACACACACAGCCTAAGGAGTTTCTGAGAATCCTTCTGTCTGGTTTGTATGTGAAGTCATTTCCTTTTCCATCTAAATGGCCTCAAATGGCTAAAACATCCACTTGCAGATACTACAAAGAGACTTTCAAAACTGCTCTCTCAAAAGGAAGGTTCAACTGTGTGAGTTGAATGCACACATCACATAGCACTTTTTGAGAATGCTTCTGTCTAGCTTTTTATGTAACGATATTTTCTTTCCACCAGAGGCAACGAAGCACACGGAACGAAATCTTGCGGATTCTACAAAAAGTGTGTCTCAACACCGCTCTATCCAAAGAAAGGTTCGAGTCCGTGAGTTGAACGCACACAACAGAAAGCAGTTTCTGAGGATGTTTCTGTCTAGTGTTTCTATGAAGACAATTCTTTTTCTACCATAGGCAACAATACGCTGCAAATGAACACTTGCAGATTTCACAAAAACTGTGTTTTAACACTGCTCTATCAAAACAAAGGTCCAAGTCTGTGAGTTGACTGCACACATCACAAAGCAGTTTCTGAGAATGATTCTGTCTAGTCTAGTTAGAATGTGAAGATATCCCGTTTACAACGAATTCCTCCGAGAGCTCTAAATATCTGGAAGCAGATTCTACAAAAGCAGTGCTTCAAACCTGCTCTATCAAAGGAAAGGTTCAGCTCGGGGAATTGAACACAAACATCACAAAGGAGTTTCTGAGAATGCCTCTGTCTAGTTTGTATGTGAAGATATTTCCTTTTCCATCATAGGCCTCAAATCGCTCCAAATATCCACTTGCAGATACTCCAAAAATACCGTTTCAACACTGCTCTCTCCAATGGAAGGTTCAACTCTGTGAGTTGAATGCACACATCACAAAGCAGTTTCTGAGAATGCTTCTGCCTAGATTTTGTGAAGATATTCCCTTTTCCACCATAGGCTTCACAGCGCTCCAAATGAAAACTTGCAGGTCCTACCAAAACACTGATTCCAAACTGCTCTCTCAAAAGGAAGGTTCAACTGTGTGAGTTGAATGCACACATCACAAAGCAGTTCCTGAGAATGCTTGGGTCTACTTTTTATGTGAAGATACCCGTTTCCAACGAATAACTCAAAGAGTTCCAAATATACACAGTCAGATACAGCAAAAGGAGTGTTTCACTCCTGCTCTGTCAAAAGACAGTTTCAACTCTGTTAGTTGAAGGCACATATCTCAATGAAGTTCCTGAGAAGGCTTCTGTCTAGTGTTTAAGTGACGATATTACCTTTTCCCACATAGGCAACAAAGCGCTCCAAATGAATACTTGGGGGTTCTACAAAAAGTGTGCTTCAACACTGCTCTATCAAAAGAAAGTTTCAAGTCTGTGAGTTGAATGCACACATCACAACGAACTTTCTGAGAATGCTTCTGTCTATTTTTCAGGTGAAGATATCACTTTTTCCAACATACGTAAAAAAGTACTCGAAATGAACACTTGCAGATTCTACAAAAAGTATGTTTCAACACTGCTCTATCAAAAGAAAGGTTCAACGATGTGAATTGAACACACACATCACAAAGGAGTTTCAGAGAATGCTTCCGTCTAGTTTTTTATTTGAAGGTATTTCCTTTTCCTTCTTCGGCCTCAAATCACTGCAAATATCCACTTGCAGACACTACAAAAAGACTGTTTCAAAACCGCTCTCTCAAAAGGAAGGTTCGACTCTGTGAGTTGAATGCACACGTTACGAAGCAGTTTCTGAGAATGCTTCTGTCTAGTTTGTATCTGAAGTTATTTCCTTTTCCATCATAGGCCTCAAATCGCTCCAAATATCCACTTGCAAATACTACAAAAAGACTGTTTCAAAAGTTCTCTCTCAAAAGGAAGGTTCAACTCTGTGAGTTGAATGCACACATCACAAGGCAGTTTCTGAAAATGCTTCTGTCCAATTTGTATGTGAAGATATTCCCTTTTCCATCATAGTCCTCAAGTCGCTCTAAATATCCAATTTCAGATACTACAAAAAGACTCTTTCAAAACTGCTCTCTCAAAAAGAAGGTTCAAGTCCGTGAGTTGAATGCACACATCACAAAGCAGTTCCTGAGAATGCTTCTTTCTAGTTCTTATGTGAATGTATCTCCTTTTCCACCACAGGCTTCAAAGCGCTCCAAATGAGAACTGGCAGATCCTCATAAAAGACGGCCTCAAAACCGCTCTATCAAAAGAAGGGTTCCACTCCAAGAGGTGAATTCACATATCACGAAGAAGTTTCTGAGAATGCTTGGGTCTAGTTTTCATGGGAAGATACCCGTTTCCAACGAATTCTTCAAAGAGTTCCAAGTATCCACAAGCAGATTCTGCAAAAGGAGTGCTTAAATGCTGGTCTATCTAAAGACAGATTCAACTCTGTTAGTTAAATGCACACATCTCAGTGAAGTTCCTGAGAATGCTTCTGTCTAGTTTTTATTTGAAGATATTTCTTTTTCCACCATAGGCAACAAAGCGCTCCAAAGGAACTCTTGCGGATTCTACAAAAAGCATGTTTCTACACTGCTCTATCAAAAGAATTTTCAAGTCTGTGAGTTGAATTGCACACATCCCAGTGAACTTTCGGAAAATGCATCTGTCTAGTTTGTATGTGAAGAGATTCCATTTACAACGAATTCCTCAGAGAGCTCCAAATATCCACAAGCAGATTCTACAAAAGCAGTGTTTTGAAACTGCTCTATCAATAGAAAGGTTCAACTCTGTTAATTGAACACACACATCCTAAGGAGTTTCTGAGAATCCTTCTGTCTGGTTTGTATGTGAAGTCATTTCCTTTTCCATCTAAATGGCCTCAAATCGCTAAAAGATCCATTCGCAGATACTACAAAAAGACTTTCAAAACTGCTCTCTCAAAAGGAAGGTTCAACTGTGTGAGTTGAATGCACACATCACATAGCAGTTTTTGAGAATGCTTCTGTCTACCTTTTTAAGTAACGATATTTTCTTTCCACCATAGGCAACAAAGCACAAGGAATGAAAAATTGCAGATTCTACAAAAAGTGTGTTTCAACACTGCTCTATCCAAATAAAGGTTCGAGACCGTGAGTTGAACACACACAACAGAAAGCAGTTTCTGAGGATGCTTCTGTCTAGTGTTTCTATGAAGATAATTCTTTTTCTACCATAGGCAACAATACGCTGCAAATGAACCCTTGCAGATTTCACAGAAACTGTGTTTTAACACTGCTCTATCAAAACAAAGGTCCAAGTCTGTGAGTTGACGGCACACATCACAAAGCAGTTTCGGAGAATGATTCTGTCTAGTCTAGTTAGAATGTGAAGATATCCCGTTTACAAAGAATTCCTCCGAGAGCTCTAAATATCTGGAAGCAGATTCTACAAAAGCAGTGCTTCAAACCTGCTCTATCAAAGGAAAGGTTCAGCTCCGGGAATTGAACACAAGCATCACAAAGGAGTTTCTGAGAATGCTTCTGTCTACTTTGTATGTGAAGGTATTTCCTTTTCCATCTGAGGCCCCAAGTCACTACAAATATCCACTTGCAGATACTACAAAAAGACTGTTTCAAAACCTCCCTCTCAAAAGGAAAGTTCAAATCTGTGAGTTGAATGCACACATCACAAAGCAGTTCCTGAGACTGCTTCTGTCCTATTTTTATGTGAAGATATTCCCTTTTCCATCATAGGCCTCAAGTCGCTCCAAATATCCACTTGCAGACATTACAAGAAGACTGTTTCAAAACTGTTCTCTCAAAAGGAAGGTTCAACTCTGTGAGTTGAGTGCACACATCACAATGGAGTTTCTGAGAATACTTCTGCCTAGTTTTTTGTGAAGATATTCCCTTTTCCACCATAGGCTTCACAGCGTTCCAAATGAAAACTTGCAGGTCCTACAAAAAGACTGATTCAAAACTGCTCTCCCAAAAGGAAGGTTCAACTGTGTGAGTTGAATGCACACATCACAAAGCAGTTCCTGAGAATGCTTGGGTCTACTTTTTATGTGAAGATACCCGTTTCCAACGAATAACTCAAAGAGTTCCAAATATACACAGTCAGGTACTGCAAAAGGAGTGTTTCACTCCTGCTCTGTCAAAAGACAGTTTCAACTCTGTTAGTTGAATGCACACATCTCAATGAAGTTCCTGAGAAGGCTTCTGTCTAGGGTTTAAGTGACGATATTACCTTTTCCCACCTAGGCAACAAAGCGCTCCAAACGAATACTTGGGGGTTCTACAAAAAGTGTGTTTCAACACTGCTCTATCAAAAGAAAGTTTCAAGTCTGTGAGTTGAATGCACACATCACAACGAACTTTCTGAGAATGCTTCTGTCTATTTTTCAGGTGAAGATATCACTTTTTCCAACATACGTAAAAAAGTACTCGAAATGAACACTTGCAGATTCTACAAAAAGGATGTCTCAACACTGCTCTATCAAAAGAAAGGTTCAACGATGTGAATTGAACACACACATCACAAAGGATTTTCAGAGAATGCTTCCGTCTAGTTTTTTATTTGAAGGTATTTCCTTTTCCTTCTTCGGCCTCAAATCACTGCAAATATCCACTTGCAGATACTACAAAAAGACTGTTTCAAAACCGCTCTCTCAAAAGGAAGGTTCGACTCTGTGAGTTGAATGCACACGTTACGAAGCAGTTTCTGAGAATGCTTCTGTCTAGTTTGTACCTGAAGTTATTTCCTTTTCCATCATAGGCCTCAAATCGCTCCACATATCCACTTGCAAATACTACCAAAAGACTGTTTCAAAACTTCTCTCTCAAAAGGAAGGTTCAACTCTGTGAGTTCAATGCACACATCACAAGGCAGTTTCTGAAAATGCTTCTGTCCAATTTTTATGTGAGGATATTCCCTTTTCCATCATAGGACTCAAGTCGCTCTAAATATCCAATTTCAGATACTACAAAAAGACTGTTTCAAAACCGCTCTCTCAAAGGGAAGGTTCAAGTCCGTGAGTTGAATGCACACATCACAAAGCAGTTCCTGAGAATGCTTCTTTCTAGTTTTTATGTGAATATGTCTCCTTTTCCACCATAGGCTTCAAAGCGCTCCAAATGAGAACTGGCAGATCCTCATAAAAGACGGCCTCTAAACCGCTCTATCAAAAGAAGGGTTCCACTCCAAGAGGTGAATTCACATATCACGAAGAAGTTTCTGAGAATGCTTGGGTCTACTTTTCATGTGAAGATAACCGTTTCCAACGACTTCTTCAAAGAGTTCCAAGTATCCACAAGCAGATTCTACAAAAGGAGTGCTTAAATGCTGGTCTATCTAAAGACAGATTCAACTCTGTTAGTTAAATGCACACATCTCAGTGAAGTTCCTGAGAATGCTTCTGTCTAGTTTTCATTTGAAGATATTTCTTTTTCCACCATAGGCAACAGAGCGCTCCAAAGGAACTCTTGCGGATTCTACAAAAAGCGTATTTCTACACTGCTCTATCAAAAGAAAGCTTCAAGTCTGTGAGTGGAATTGCACACATCCCAGTGAACTTTCAGAAAATGCATCTGTCTAGTTTGTATATGAAGGTATTCCATTTACAACGAATTCCTCAAAGAGCTCCAAATATCCACAAGCAGATTCTACAAAAGCAGTGTTTTAAAACTGATCTATCAATAGAAAGGTTCTACTCTGTTAATTGAACTCACACATCCAAAGGGGTTTCTGAGAATCCTTCTGACTGGTTTGTATGTGAAGTCATTTCCTTTTCCATCTAAATCGCCTCAAATCGCTAAAAGATCCACTTGCAGATACTACAAAAAGACTTTCAAAACTGCTCTCTCAAAAGGAAGTTTCAACTGTGTGAGTTGAATACACACATCACATAGCAGTTTCTGAGAAGGCTTCTGTCTAGCTTTTTATGTAACGATATTTTCTTTCCACCATAGGCAACAAAGCACACGGAATGAAAACTTGCAGAATCTGCAAAAAGCGTGTTTCAACACTGCTCTATCCAAAGAAAGGTTCGAGTCCGTGAGTTGAACGCACACAACAGAAAGCAGTTTCTGAGGATGCTTCTGTCTAGTGTTTCTATGAAGATAATTCTTTTTCTACCATAGGCAACAATACGCTGCAAATGAACACTTGCAGATTTCACAGAAACTGTGTTTTAACACTGCTCTATCAAAACAAAGGTCCAAGTCTGTGAGTTGACGGCACACATCACAAAGCAGTTTCGGAGAATGATTCTGTCTAGTCTAGTTAGAATGTGAAGATGTCCTGTTTACAACGAATTCCTCTGAGAGCTCTAAATGTGTGGAAGCAGATTCTACAAAAGCAGTGCTTCAAACCTGCTCTATCAAAGGAAAGGTTCAACTCGGGGAATTGAACGCAAACATCACAAAGGTGTCTCTGAGAATGCTTCTGTCTAGTTTGTATGTGAAGATATTTCCTTTTCCATCATAGGCCTCAAATCGCTCCAAATATCCACTTGCAGATACTACAAAAATACCGTTTCAACACTGCTCTCTCCAATGGAAGGTTCAACTCTGTGAGTTGAATGCACACATCACAAAGCAGTTTCTGAGAATGCTTCTGCCTAGTTTTTTGTGAAGATATTCCCTTTTCCACCATAGGCTTCACAGCGCTCCAAATGAAAACTTGCAGGTCCTACAAAAAGACTGATTCAAAACTGCTCTCCCAAAAGGAAGGTTCAACTGTGTGAGTTGAATGCACACATCACAAAGCAGTTCCTGAGAATGCTTGGGTCTACTTTTTATGTGAAGATACCCGTTTCCAACGAATAACTCAAAGAGTTCCAAATATACACAGTCAGGTACTGCAAAAGGAGTGTTTCACTCCTGCTCTGTCAAAAGACAGTTTCAACTCTGTTAGTTGAATGCACACATCTCAATGAAGTTCCTGAGAAGGCTTCTGTCTAGTGTTTAGGTGACGATATTACCTTTTCCCACATAGGCAACAAAGCGCTCCAAATGAATACTTGTGGGTTCTACAAGAAGTGTGTTTCAACACTGCTCTATCAAAAGAAAGTTTCCAGTCTGTGAGTTGAATGCACACATCACAACGAACTTTCTGAGAATGCTTCTGTCTATTTTTCAGGTGAAGATATCACTTTTTCCAACATACGTAAAAAAGTACTCGAAATGAACACTTGCAGATTCTAGAAAAAGGATGTTTCAACACTGCTCTATCAAAAGAAAGGTTCAACGATGTGAATTGAACACACACATCACAAAGGAGTTTCAGAGAATGCTTCCGTCTAGCTTTTTATTTGAAGGTATTTCCTTTTCCTTCTTCGGCCTCAAATCACTGCAAATATCCACTTGCGGATACTACAAGAAGACTGTTTCAAAACCGCTCTCTCAAAAGGAAGGTTCGACTCCGTGAGTTGAATGCACACGTTACGAAGCAGTTTCTGAGAATGCTTCTGTCTAGTTTGTTTCTGAAGTTATTTCCTTTTCCATCATAGGCCTCAAATCGCTCCAAATATCCACTTGCAAATACTACAAAAAGACTGTTTCAAAAGTTCTCTCTCAAAAGGAAGGTTCAACTCTGTGAGTTGAATGCACACATCACAAGGCAGTTTCTGAAAATGCTTCTGTCCAATTTTTATGTGAGGATATTCCCTTTTCCATCACAGGACTCAAGTCGCTCTAAATATCCAATTTCAGATACTACAAAAAGACTGTTTCTAAACTGCTCTCTCAAAGGGAAGGTTCAAGTCCGTGAGTTGAATGTACACATCACAAAGCAGTTCCTGAGAATGCTTCTTTCTAGTTTTTATGTGAACATATCTCCTTTTCCACCATAGGCTTCAAAGCGCTCCAAATGAGAACTGGCAGATCTTCATAAAAGACTGCCTCAAAACCGCTCTATCAAAAGAAGGGTTCCACTCCAAGAGGTGAATTCACATATCACGAAGAAGTTTCTGAGAATGCTTGGGTCTACTTTTCATGTGAAGATACCCGTTTCCAACGAATTCTTCAAAGAGTTCCAAATATCCACCTGCAGATTCTACAAAAGGAGTGCTTAAATGCTGGTCTATCTAAAGACAGATTCAACTCTGTTAGTTAAATGCACACGTCTCAGTGAAGTTCCTGAGAATGCTTCTGTCTAGTTTTTATTTGAAGATATTTCTTTTTCCACCGTAGGCAACAAAGCGCTCCAAAGGAACTCTTGCGGATTCTACAAAAAGCGTGTTTCCACACTGCTCTATCCAAAGAAAGTTTCAAGTCTGTGAGTTGAATTGCACACATCCCAGTGAACTTTCGGAAAATGCATCTGTCTAGTTTGTATGTGAACAGATTCCATTTACAATGAATTCCTCAAAGAGCTCCAAATATCCACAAGCAGATTCTACAAAAGCAGTGTTTTGAAACTGCTCTATCGATAGAAAGGTTCAACACTGTTAATTGAACACACACATCCTAAGGAGTTTCTGAGAAACCTTCCGTCTGGTTTGTATGTGAAGTCATTTCCTTTTCCATCTAAATCGCCTCAAATCGCTAAAAGATCCACTCGCAGATACTACAAAAAGACTTTCAAAACTGCTCTCTCAAAAGGAAGGTTCAACTGTGTGAGTTGAATGCGCACATCACATAGCAGTTTTTGAGAACGCTTCTGTCTAGCTTTTTATGTAACGATATTTTCTTTGCACCAGAGGCAACAAAGCACACGGAATGAAATCTTGCGGATTCTACAAAAAGTGTGTTTCAACACCGCTCTATCCAAAGAAAGGTTCGAGTCCGTGAGTTGAACGCACACAACAGAAAGCAGTTTCTGAGGATGCTTCTGTCTAGTGTTTCTATGAAGATAATTCTTTTTCTACCATAGGCAACAATACGCTGCAAATGAACACTTGCAGATTTCACAGAAACTGTGTTTTAACACTGCTCTATCAAAACAAAGGTCCAAGTCTGTGAGTTGACTGCACACATCACAAAGCAGTTTCGGAGAATGATTCTGTCTAGTCTAGTTAGAATGTGAAGATGTCCCGTTTACAACGAATTCCTCCGAGAGCTCTAAATATCTGGAAGCAGATTCCACAAAAGCAGTGCTTCAAACCTGCTCTATCAAAGGAAAGGTTCAGCTCGGGGAATTGAACACAAACATCACAAAGGAGTTTCTGAGAATGCTTCTGTCTAGTTTGTATGTGAAGATATTTCCTTTTCCATCATAGGCCTCAAATCGCTCCAAATATCCACTTGCAGATACTACAAAAATACCGTTTCAACACTGCTCTCTCCAATGGAAGGTTCAACTCTGTGAGTTGAATGCACACATCACAAAGCAGTTTCTGAGAATGCTTCTGCCTAGTTTTTTGTGAAGATATTCCCTTTTCCACCATAGGCTTCACAGCGCTCCAAATGAAAACTTGCAGGTCCTACAAAAAGACTGATTCAAAACTGCTCTCCCAAAAGGAAGGTTCAACTGTGTGAGTTGAATGCACACATCACAAAGCAGTTCCTGAGAATGCTTGGGTCTACTTTTTATGTGAAGATACCCGTTTCCAACGAATAACTCAAAGAGTTCCAAATATACACAGTCAGATACAGCAAAAGGAGTGTTTCACTCCTGCTCTGTCAAAAGACAGTTTCAACTCTGTTAGTTGAAGGCACACATCTCAATGAAGTTCCTGAGAAGGCTTCTGTCTAGTGTTTAAGTGACGATGTTACCTTTTCCCACATAGGCAACAAAGCGCTCCAAATGAATACTTGTGGGTTCTACAAAAAGTGTGTTTCAACACTGCTTTATCAAAAGAAACTTTCGAGTCTGTGAGTTGAATGCACACATCACAACGAACTTTCTGAGAATGCTTCTGTCTATTTTTCAGGTGAAGATATCACTTTTTCCAACATACGTAAAAAAGTACTCGAAATGAACACTTGCAGATTCTACAAAAAGGATGTTTCAACACTGCTCTATCAAAAGAAAGGTTCAACGATGTGAATTGAACACACACATCACAAAGGAGTTTCAGAGAATGCTTCCGTCTAGCTTTTTATTTGAAGGTATTTCCTTTTCCTTCTTCGGCCTCAAATCACTGCAAATATCCACTTGCGGATACTACAAGAAGACTGTTTCAAAACCGCTCTCTCAAAAGGAAGGTTCGACTCCGTGAGTTGAATGCACACGTTACGAAGCAGTTTCTGAGAATGCTTCTGTCTAGTTTGTTTCTGAAGTTATTTCCTTTTCCATCATAGGCCTCAAATCGCTCCAAATATCCACTTGCAAATACTACAAAAAGACTGTTTCAAAAGTTCTCTCTCAAAAGGAAGGTTCAACTCTGTGAGTTGAATGCACACATCACAAGGCAGTTTCTGAAAATGCTTCTGTCCAACTTTTATGTGAAGATTTTCCCTTTTCCATCATAGGACTCAAGTCGCTCTAAATATCCAATTTCAGATACTCCAAAAAGACTGTTTCAAAACTGCTCTCTCAAAGGGAAGGTTCAAGTCCGTGAGTTGAATGCACACATCACAAAGCAGTTCCTGAGAATGCTTCTTTCTAGTTCTTATGTGAATGTATCTCCTTTTCCACCATAGGCTTCACAGCGCTCCAAATGAGAACTGGCAGATCCTCATAAAAGACGGCCTCAAAACCGCTCTATCAAAAGAAGGGTTCCACTCCAAGAGGTGAATTCACATATCACGGAGAAGTTTCTGAGAATGCTTGGGTCTACTTTTCATGTGAAGATACCCGTTTCCAACGAATTCTTCAAAGAGTTCCAAGTATCCACAAGCAGATTCTACAAAAGGAGTGCTTAAATGCTGGTCTATCTAAAGACAGATTCAACTCTGTTAGTTAAATGCACACATCTCAGTGAAGTTCCTGAGAATGCTTCTGTCTAGTTTTTATTTGAAGATATTTCTTTTTCCACCATAGGCAACAAAGCGCTCCAAGGGAACTCTTGCAGATTCTAAAAAAAGCGTGTTTCTACACTGTTCTATCAAAAGAAAGTTTCAAGTCTGTGAGTTGAATGCACACATCCCAGTGAACTTTCGGAGAATGCATCTGTCTAGTTTGTATGTGAAGAGATTCCATTTACAACGAATTCCTCAAAGAGCTCCAAATATCCACAAGCAGATTCTACAAAAGCAGTGTTTTGAAACTGCTCTATCGATAGAAAGGTTCAACTCTGTTAATTGAACACACACATCCTAAGGAGTTTCTGAGAAACCTTCTGTCTGGTTTGTATGTGAAGTCATTTCCTTTTCCATCTAAATCGCCTCAAATCGCTAAAAGATCCACTCGCAGATACTACAAAAAGACTTTCAAAACTGCTCTCTCAAAAGGAAGGTTCAACTGTGTGAGTTGAATGCGCACATCACATAGCAGTTTTTGAGAACGCTTCTGTCTAGCTTTTTATGTAACGATATTTTCTTTCCACCATAGGCAACAAAGCACACGGAATGAAAACTTGCAGATTCTGCAAAAAGTGTGTTTCAACACTGCTCTATCCAAAGAAAGGTTCGAGTCCGTGAGTTGAACGCACACAACAGAAAGCGGTTTCTGAGGATGCTTCTGTCTAGTGTTTCTATGAAGATAATTCTTTTTCTACCATAGGCAACAATACGCTGCAAATGAACACTTGCAGATTTCACAGAAACTGTGTTTTAACACTGCACTATCAAAACAAAGGTCCAAGTCTGTGAGTTGACTGCACACATCACAAAGCAGTTTCGGAGAATGATTCTGTCTAGTCTAGTTAGAATGTGAAGATATCCCGTTTACAACGAATTCCTCCGAGAGCTCTAAATATCTGGAAGCAGATTCTACAAAAGCAGTGCTTCAAACCTGCTCTACCAAAGGAAAGGTTCAGCTCGGGGAATTGAACACAAACATCACAAAGAGTTTCTGAGAATGCCTCTGCCAATTTTTTTGTGAAGATATTTCCTTTTCCATCATAGGCCTCAAATCGCTCCAAATATCCACTTGCAGATACTACAATAATACCGTTTCAACACTGCTCTCTCCAATGGAAGGTTCAACTCTGTGAGTTGAATGCACACATCACAAAGCAGTTTCTGAGAATGTTTCTGCCTAGTTTTTTGTGAAGATATTCCCTTTTCAACCATGGGCTTCACAGCGCTCCAAATGAAAACTTGCAGGTCCTACAAAAAGACTGATTCAAAACTGCTCTCTCAAAAGGAAGGTTCAACTGTGTGAGTTGAATGCACACATCACAAAGCAGTTCCTGAGAATGCTTGGGTCTACTTTTTATGTGAAGATACCCGTTTCCAACGAATAACTCAAAGAGTTCCAAATATACACAGTCAGATACTGCAAAAGGAGTGTTTCATTCCTGCTCTGTCAAAAGACAGTTTCAACTATGTTAGTTGAATGCACACATCTCAGTGAAGTTCCTGAGGAGGCTTCTGTCTAGTGTTTAAGTGACGATATTACCTTTTCCCACATAGGCAACAAAGCGCTCCAAATGAATACTTGGGGGTTCTACAACAAGTGTGTTTCAACACTGCTCTATCAAAAGAAAGTTTCAAGTCTGTGAGTTGAATGCACACATCACAACGAACTTTCTGAGAATGCTTCTCTCTATTTTTCAGGTGAAGATATCACTTTTTCCAACATACGTAAAAAAGTACTCGAAATGAACACTTGCAGATTCTAGAAAAAGGATGTTTCAACACTGCTCTATCTAAAGAAAGGTTCAACGATGTGAATTGAACACACACATCACAAAGGAGTTTCAGAGAATGCTTCCGTCTAGTTTTTTATTTGAAGGTATTTCCTTTTCCTTCTTCGGCCTCAAATCACTGCAAATATCCACTTGCAGATACTACAAAAAGACTGTTTCAAAACCGCTCTCTCAAAAGGAAGGTTCGACTCCGTGAGTTGAATGCACACGTTACGCAGCAGTTTCTGAGAATGCTTCTGTCTAATTTGTATGTGAAGTTATTTCCTTTTCCATCATAGGACTCAATTCGCTCCAAATATGCATTTGCAGATACTACAAAAAGACTGTTTCAAAAGTTCTCTCTCAAAACGAAGGTTCAACTCTGTGAGTTGAATGCACACGTCACAAGGCAATTTCTGAAAATGCTTCTGTCCAATTTTTATGTGAGGATATTCCCTTTTCCATCATATGACTCAAGTCGCTCTAAATATCCAAATTCAGATACTACAAAAAGACTGTTTCAAAACCGCTCTCTCAAAGGGAAGGTTCAAGTCCGTGAGTTGAATGCACACATCACAAAGCAGTTCCTGAGAATGCTTCTTTCTAGTTTTTATGTGAATATATCTCCTTTTCCACCATAGGCTTCAAAGCGCTCCAAATGAGAACTGGCAGATCCTCATAAAAGATGGCCTCTAAACCGCTCTATCAAAAGAATGGTTCCACTCCAAGAGGTGAATTCACATATCACGAAGAAGTTTCTGAGAATGCTTGGGTCTACTTTTCATGTGAAGATACCCGTTTCCAACGAATTCTTCAAAGAGTTCCAAGTATCCACAAGCAGATTCTACAAAAGGAGTGCTTAAATGCTGGTCTATCTAAAGACAGATTCAACTCTGTTAGTTAAATGCACACATCTCAGTGAAGTTCCTGAGAATGCTTCTGTCTAGTTTTTATTTGAAGATATTTCTTTTTCCACCATACGCAACAAGGCGCTCCAAAGGAACTCTTGCGGATTCTACAAAAAGCGTGTTTCTACACTGCTCTATCAAAAGAAAGTTTCAAGTCTGTGAGTTGAATTGCACACATCCCAGTGATCTTTCGGAAAATGCATCTGTCTAGTTTGTATGTGAAGAGATTCCATTTACAACGAATTCCTCAAAGAGCTCCAAATATCCACAAGCAGATTCTACAAAAGCAGTGTTTTGAAACTGCTCTATCAATAGAAAGGTTCAACTCTGTTATTTGAACACACACAGCCTAAGGAGTTTCTGAGAATCCTTCCGTCTGGTTTGTATGTGAAGTCATTTCCTTTTCCATCTAAATCGCCTCAAATCGCTAAAAGATCCACTCGCAGATACTACAAAAAGACTTTCAAAACTGCTCTCTCAAAAGGAATGTTCAAATGTGTGAGTTGAATGCGCACATCACATAGCAGTTTTTGAGAACGCTTCTGTCTAGCTTTTTATGTAACGATATTTTCTTTCCACCATAGGCAACAAAGCACACGGAATGAAATCTTGCGGATTCTACAAAAAGTGTGTTTCAACACTGCTCTATCCAAAGAAAGGTTCGAGTCCGTGAGTTGAACGCACACAACAGAAAGCAGTTTCTGAGGATGCTTCTGTCTAGTGTTTCTATGAAGATAATTCTTTTTCTACCATAGGCAACAATACGCTGCAAAGGAACACTTGCAGATTTCACAAAAACTGTGTTTTAACACTGCTCTATCAAAACAAAGGTCCAAGTCTGTGAGTGGACTGCACACATCACAAAGCAGTTTCTGAGAATGATTCTGTCTAGTCTAGTTAGAATGTGAAGATGTCCCGTTTACAATGAATTCCTCCGAGAGCTCTAAATATCTGGAAGCAGATTCCACAAAAGCAGTGCTTCAAACCTGCTCTATCAAAGGAAAGGTTCAGTTCGGGGAATTGAACACAAACATCACAAAGGAGTTTCTGAGAATGCTTCTGTCTAGTTTGTATGTGAAGATATTTCCTTTTCCATCATAGGCCTCAAATCGCTCCAAATATCCAATTGTAGATAATTCAAAAATACCGTTTCAACACTGCTCTCTCAAATGGAAGGTTCAACTCTGTGAGTTGAATGCACACATCAGAAAGTAGTTTCTGAGAATGCTTCTGCCTAGTTTTTTGTGAAGATATTCCCTTTTCCACCATAGGCTTCACAGCGCTCCAAATGAAAACTTGCAGGTCCTACCAAAAGACTGATTCCAAACTGCTCTCTCAAAAGGAAGGTTCAACTGTGTGAGTTGAATGCACACATCACAAAGCAGTTCCTGAGAATGCTTGGGTCTACTTTTTATGTGAAGATACCCGTTTCCAATGAATAACACAAAGAGTTCCAAATATACACAGTCAGGTACTGCAAAAGGAGTGTTTCACTCCTACTCTGTCAAAAGACAGTTTCAACTCTGTTAGTTGAATGCACACATCTCAGTGTAGTTCCTGAGAAGGCTTCTGTCTAGGGTTTAAGTGACGATATTACCTTTTCCCACATAGGCAACAAAGCGCTCCAAATGAATACTTGGGGGTTCTACAAAAAGTGTGTTTCAACACTGCTCTATCAAAAGAAAGTTTCAAGTCTGTGAGTTGAATGCACACATCACAACGAACTTTCTGAGAATGCTTCTGTCTATTTTTCAGGTGAAGATATCACTTTTTCCAACATACGTAAAAAAGTACTCGAAATGAACACTTGCAGATTCTACAAAAAGTATGTTTCAACATGGCTCTATCAAAAGAAAGGTTCAACGATGTGAATTGAACACACACATCACAAAGGAGTTTCAGAGAATGCTTCCGTCTAGTTTTTTTATTTGAAGGTATTTCCTTTTGCTTCTTCGGCCTCAAATCACTGCAAATATCCACTTGCAGATACTACAAAAAGACTGTTTCAAAACCGCTCTCTCAAAAGGAAGGTTCAACTCTGTGAGTTGAATGCACATGTTACAAAGCAGTTTCTGAGAATGCTTCTGTCTAGTTTGTATCTGAAGTTATTTCCTTTTCCATCATAGGCCTCAAATCGCTCCACATATCCACTTCCAAATACTACCAAAAGACTGTTTCAAAACTTCTCTCTCAAAAGGAAGGTTCAACTCTGTGAGTTGAATGCACACATCACAAGGCAGTTTCTGAAAATGCTTCTGTCCAATTTGTATGTGAAGATATTCCCTTTTCCATCATAGGCCTCAAGTCGCTCTAAATATCCAATTTCAGATACTACAAAAAGACTGTTTCAAAACTGCTCTCTCAAAGGGAAGGTTCAAGTCCGTGAGTTGAATGCACACATCACAAAGCAGTTCCTGAGAATGCTTCTTTCTAGTTCTTATGTGAATGTATCTCCTTTTCCACCATAGGCTTCAAAGCGCTCCAAATGAGAACTGGCAGATCCTCATAAAAGACGGCCTCAAACCCGCTCTATCAAAAGAAGGGTTCCACTCCAAGAGGTGAATTCACATATCACGAAGAAGTTTCTGAGAATGCTTGGGTCTAGTTTTCATGGGAAGATACCCGTTTCCAACGAATTCTTCAAAGAGTTCCAAGTATCCACAAGCAGATTCTGCAAAAGGAGTGCTTAAATGCTGGTCTATCTAAAGACAGATTCAACTCTGTTAGTTAAATGCACACATCTCAGTGAAGTTCCTGAGAATGCTTCTGTCTAGTTTTCATTTGAAGATATTTCTTTTTCCACCATAGGCAACAGAGCGCTCCAAAGGAACTCTTGCGGATTCTACAAAAAGCGTGTTTCTACACTGCTCTATCAAAAGAAAGCTTCAAGTCTGTGAGTGGAATTGCACACATCCCAGTGAACTTTCAGAAAATGCATCTGTCTAGTTTGCATGTGAAGAGATTCCATTTACAACGAATTCCTCAAAGAGCTCCAATTATCCACAAGCAGAGTCTACAAAAGCAGTGTTTTGAAACTGCTCTGTCAATAGAAAGGTTCAACTCTGTTAATTGAGCACACACATCCAAAGGAGTTTCTGAGAATCCTTCTGTCTGGTTTGTATGTGAAGTCATTTCCTTTTCCATCTAAATCACCTCAAATCGCTAAAAGATCCACTTGCAGATACTACAAAAAGACTTTCAAAACTGCTCTCTCAAAAGGAAGTTTCAACTGTGTGAGTTGAATACACACATCACATAGCAGTTTCTGAGAATGCTTCTGTCTAGCTATTTATGTAATGATATTTTCTTTCCACCAGAGGCAACAAAGCACACGGAACGAAATCTTGCGGATCCTACAAAAAGTGTGTTTCAACACCGCTCTATCCAAAGAAAGGTTCGAGTCCGTGAGTTGAACGCACACAACAGAAAGCAGTTTCTGAGGATGCTTCTGTCTAGTGTTTCTATGAAGATAATTCTTTTTCTACCATAGGCAACAATACGCTGCAAATGAACACTTGCAGATTTCACCAAATCTGTGTTTTAACACTGCTCTATCAAAACAGAGGTCCAAGACTGTGAGTTGACTTCGCACATCACAAAGCAGTTTCTGAGAATGATTCTGTCTAGTCTAGTTAGAATGTGAAGGTGTCCCGTTTACAACGAATCCCTCCGAGAGCTCTAAATATCTGGAAGCAGATTCCACAAAAGCAGTGCTTCAAACCTGCTCTGTCAAAGGAAAGGTTCAGCTCGGGGAATTGAACACAAACATCACAAAGGAGTTTCTGAGAATGCTTCTGTCTAGTTTGTACGTGAAGGTATTTCCTTTTCCATCTTAGGCCCCAAATCACTACAAATATCCACTTGCAGATACTACAAAAAGTCTGTTTCAAAACCTCTCTCTCAAAAGGAAAGTTCAAATCTGTGAGTTGAATGCACACATCACAAAGCAGTTCCTGAGACTGCTTCTGTCTAGTTTGTATGTGAAGATATTTCCTTTTCCATCATAGGCCTCCAATCGCTCCAAATATCCACTTGCAGATACTACAAAAATACCGTTTCAACACTGCTCTCTCCAATGGAAGGTTCAACTCTGTGAGTTGAATGCACACATCACAAAGCAGTTTCTGAGAATACTTCTGCCTAGTTTTTTGTGAAGATATTCCCTTTTCCACCATAGGCTTCACAGCGCTCCAAATGAAAACTTGCAGGTCCTACAAAAAGACTGATTCAAAACTGCTCTCCCAAAAGGAAGGTTCAACTGTGTGAGTTGAATGCACACATCACAAAGCAGTTCCTGAGAATCCTTGGGTCTACTTTTTATGTGAAGATACCCGTTTCCAACGAATAACTCAAAGAGTTCCAAATATACACAGTCAGATACTGCAAAAGGAGTGTTTCATTCCTGCTCTGTCAAAAGACAGTTTCAACTATGTTAGTTGAATGCACACATCTCAGTGAAGTTCCTGAGGAGGCTTCTGTCTAGTGTTTAAGTGACGATATTACCTTTTCCCACATAGGCAACAAAGCGCTCCAAATGAATACTTGTGGGTTCTACAAAAAGTGTGTTTCAACACTGCTCTATCAAAAGAAAGTTTCAAGTCTGTGAGTTCAATGCACACATCACAACGAACTTTCTGAGAATGCTTCTGTCTATTTTTCAGGTGAAGATATCACTTTTTCCAACATACGTAAAAAATTACTCGAAATGAACACTTGCAGATTCTACAAAAAGTATGTTTCAACACTGCTCTATCAAAAGAAAGGTTCAACGATGTGAATTGGACACACACATCACAAAGGAGTTTCAGAGAATGCTTCCGTCTAGTTTTTTATTTGAAGGTATTTCCTTTTCCTTCTTCGACCTCAAATCACTGCAAATATCCACTTGCAGATACTACAAAAAGACTGTTTCAAAACCGCTCTCTCAAAAGGAAGGTTCGACTCTGTGAGTTGAATGCACACGTTACGAAGCAGTTTATGAGAATGCTTCTGTCTAATTTGTATCTCAAGTTAATTCTTTTTCCATCATAGGCCTCAAATCGTTCCAAATATCCACTTGCAAATACTGCAAAAAGACTGTTTCGAAAGTTCTCTCTCAAAAGGAAGGTTCAACTCTGTGAGTTGAATGCACACATCACAAGGCAGTTTCTGAAAATGCTTCTGTCCAATTTTTATGTGAGGATATTCCCTTTTCCATCATAGGACTCAAGTCGCTCTAAATATCCAATTTCAGATACTACAAAAAGACTGTTTCAAAACCGCTCTCTCAAAGGGAAGGTTCAAGTCCGTGAGTTGAATGCACACATCACAAAGCAGTTCCTGAGAATGCTTCTTTCTAGTTTTTATGTGAATATATCTCCTTTTCCACCATAGGCTTCAAAGCGCTCCAAATGAGAACTGGCAGATCCTCATAAAAGACTGCCTCAACACCGCTGTATCAAAAGAATGTTTCCACTCCAAGAGGTGAATTCACATATCACGAAGAAGTTTCTTAGAATGCTTGGGTCTACTTTTCATGTGAAGATACCCGTTTCCAACGAATTCTTCAAAGAGTTCCAAGTATCCACAAGCAGATTCTACAAAAGGAGTGCTTAAATGCTGGTCTATCTAAAGACAGATTCAACTCTGTTAGTTAAATGCACACATCTCAGTGAAGTTCCTGAGAATGCTTCTGTCTAGTTTTTATTTGAAGATATTTCTTTTTCCACCATACGCAACAAGGCGCTCCAAAGGAACTCTTGCGGATTCTACAAAAAGCGTGTTTCTACACTGCTCTATCAAAAGAAAGTTTCAAGTCTGTGAGTTGAATTGCACACATCCCAGTGATCTTTCGGAAAATGCATCTGTCTAGTTTGTATGTGAAGAGACTCCATTTACAACGAATTCCTCAAAGAGCTACAAATATCCACAAGCAGATTCTACAAAAGCAGTGTTTTGAAACTGCTCTATCAATAGAAAGGTTCAACACTGTTAATTGAACACACACATCCTAAGCAGTTTCTGATAATCCTTCTGTCTGGTTTGTATGTGAAGTCATTTCCTTTTCCATCTAAATCGCCTCAAATCGCTAAAAGATCCACTTGCAGATACTACAAAAAGACTTTCAAAACTGGTCTCTCAAAAGGAAGGTTCAACTGTGTGAGTTGAATGCACACATCACAAAGCAGTTTTTGAGAATGCTTCTGTCTAGCTTTTTATGTAACGATATTTTCTTCCCACCATAGGCAACAAAGCACACGGAATGAAATCTTGCGGATTCTACAAAAAGTGTGTTTCAACACTGCTCTATCCAAAGAAAGGTTCGAGTCCGTGAGTTGAACGCACACAACAGAAAGCAGTTTCTGAGGATGCTTCTGTCTAGTGTTTCTATGAAGATAATTCTTTTTCTACCATAGTTAACAATACGCTGCACATGAACACTTGCAGATTTCACCAAAACTGTGTTTTAACACTGCTCTATCAAAAGAAAGGTCCAAGTCTGTGAGTTGACTGCACACATCACAAAGCAGTTTCTGAGAATGATTCTGTCTAGTCTAGTTAGAATGTGAAGATATCCCGTTTACAACGAATTCCTCCGAGAGCTCTAAATATCTGGAAGCAGATTCTACAAAAGCAGTGCTTCAAACCTGCTCTACCAAAGGAAAGGTTCAGCTCGGGGAATTGAACACAAACATCACAAAGGAGTTTCTGAGAATGCCTCTGCCAATTTTTTTGTGAAGATATTTCCTTTTCCATCATAGGCCTCAAATCGCTCCAAATATCCACTTGCAGATACTACAATAATACCGTTTCAACACTGCTCTCTCCAATGGAAGGTTCAACTCTGTGAGTTGAATGCACACATCACAAAGCAGTTTCTGAGAATGCTTCTGCCTAGTTTTTTTGTGAAGATATTCCCTTTTCCACCATAGGCTTCACAGCGCTCCAAATGAAATCTTGCAGGTCCTACCAAAAGATTGATTCAAAACTGCTCTCTCAAAAGGAAGGTTCAACTGTGTGAGTTGAATGCACACATCACAAAGCAGTTCCTCAGAATGCTTGGGTCTACTTTTTATGTGAAGATACCCGTTTCCAACGAATAACTCAAAGAGTTCCAAATATACACAGTCAGATACTGCAAAAGGAGTGTTTCATTCCTGCTCTGTCAAAAGACAGTTTCAACTATGTTAGTTGAATGCACACATCTCAGTGAAGTTCCTGAGGAGGCTTCTGTCTAGTGTTTAAGTGACGATATTACCTTTTCCCACATAGGCAACAAAGCGCTCCAAATGAATACTTGTGGGTTCTACAACAAGTGTGTTTCAACACTGCTCTATCAAAAGAAAGTTTCAAGTCTGTGAGTTGAATGCACACATCACAACGAACTTTCTGAGAATGCTTCTCTCTATTTTTCAGGTGAAGATATCACTTTTTCCAACATACGTAAAAAAGTACTCGAAATGAACACTTGCAGATTCTAGAAAAAGGATGTTTCAACACTGCTCTATCTAAAGAAAGGTTCAACGATGTGAATTGAACACACACATCGCAAAGGAGTTTCAGAGAATGCTTCTGTCTAGTTTTTTTATTTGAAGGTATTTCCTTTTCCTTCTTCGGCCTCAAATCACTGCAAATATCCACTTGCAGATACTACAAAAAGACTGGTTCAAAACCGCTCTCTCAGAAGGAAGGTTCGACTCTGTGAGTTGAATGCACACGTTACGAAGCAGTTTCTGAGAATGCTTCTGTCTAATTTGTATCTCAAGTTATTTCCTTTTCCATCATAGGCCTCAAATCGCTCCAAATATCCACTTGCAAATACTACAAAAAGACTGTTTCGAAAGTTCTCTCTCAAAAGGAAGGTTCAACTCTGTGAGTTGAATGCACTCATCACAAGGCAGTTTCTGAAAATGCTTCTGTCCAATTTTTATGTGAGGATATTCCCTTTTCCATCATAGGACTCAAGTCGCTCTAAATATCCAATTTCAGATACTACAAAAAGACTGTTTCAAAACCGCTCTCTCAAAGGGAAGGTTCAAGTTCCGTGAGTTGAATGCACACATCACAAAGCAGTTCCTGAGAATGCTTTCTTTCTAGTTTTTATGTGAATATGTCTCCTTTTCCACCATAGGCTTCAAAGCGCTCCAAATGAGAACTGGCAGATCCTCATAAAAGACGGCCTCTAAACCGCTCTATCAAAAGAAGGGTTCCACTCCAAGAGGTGAATTCACATATCACGAAGAAGTTTCTGAGAATGCTTGGGTCTACTTTTCATGTGAAGATACCCGTTTCCAACGAATTCTTCAAAGAGTTCCAAGTATCCACAAGCAGATTCTACAAAAGGAGTGCTTAAATGCTGGTCTATCTAAAGACAGATTCAACTCTGTTAGTTAAATGCACACATCTCAGTGAAGTTCCTGAGAATGCTTCTGTCTAGCTTTTATTTCAAGATATTTCTTTTTCCACCATAGGCAACAAAGCGCTCCAAAGGAACTCTTGCAGGTTGTACAAAAAGCGTGTTTCTACACTGCTCTATCAAAAGAAAGTTTCAAGTCTGTGAGTTGAATGCACACATCCCAGTGAACTTTCGGAGAATGCATCTGTCTAGTTGGTATGTGGAGATATTCCATTTACAACGAATTCCTCAAAGAGCTCCAAATATCCACAATCAGATTCTACAAAAGCAGTGTTTTAAAACTGCTCTATCAATAGAAAGGTTCAACTCTGTTAATTGAACACACTCATCCAAAGGAGTTTCTGAGAACCCT